>NC_000007.14:10000-237846 GCF_000001405.40 Homo sapiens
CTAACCCTAACCCTAACCCTAACCCTAACCCTAACCCTAACCCTAACCCTAACCCTAACCCTAACCCTAACCCTAACCCTAACAACCCTAACCCTAACCCTAACCCTAACCCTAAACCTAACCCTAACCCTAACCCTAACAACCCTAACCCTAACCCTAACCCTAACCCTAACAACCCTAACCCTAACAACCCTAACCCTAACCCTAACCCTAACCCTAACCCTAACCCTAACCCTAACCCAACATTCAAAAGCTGAGCAGGGCTTTAAAGCTATCTTATTAATAATTATTTCTGTATTGCGAACTTCAGCATACTTTTTTCTAGTTACATTTGAAATGTTATTCTTTTGGGATGTGCTCAAGTGAGTACTGCTTTTTCCTCTGCCTTGCTTCATTACTTTTTAGTTTCCTTCATTTGAATCATCATTGTAAGTCTCCCCTTCTCCTCAAATAACTTTCAAATTGCTGCCAAGAACTACGTTCTATCTTAAGGCTTTTGAGAAAAAACTTTCAATGAAGATAGCCGCCTAAAGTTATACAAATATAGAAGAAACGGGATAAAATAAAGCTTAGATTGGAAAAAATATTTAAGATTCTACAAAATTCACGCGTAAACAAGGGAAGCTGAGTAATTGTATGTTCAAATACTTTTAACAAGTGCAAAACATGTAGGCTTAAAGAAATAGAGCTGGCCAGGCATGGTGGTTCACGCCTGTAATTCCAACAGTTTGGGAGGCCAAGGCAGGCAGATAACTTGAGGTCAGGAATTCGAGACCAGCCTGGCCAACAGAGTGAAACCCTCTCTCTACTAAAAATACAAAAATTAGGCCAGGAGTGATGGCTCACGCCTGTGATCCCAGCACTTTGAGAGGCCGAGGCGGGTAGATCACCTGAGGTCAGGAGTTTGAGACCAGCCTAACCAACATAGGGAAACCCCGTCTCTACTAAAACTACAACATTAGCCGGGTGTGGTGGCACATGCCTGTAATCCCAGCTACTCGGGAGGCTGAGGCAGGAGAATCCCTTGAACCCAAAAGGCAAAGATTGTGGTGAGCCGAGATTGTGCCATTGCACTCCAGCCTGGGCAAAAACAGCGAAACTCCGTCTCAAAAAAAAAAAAAAGAAAAAATTAGCCAGGCATGGTGAAGTTGCAGTGAGCTGAGACTGCACCATTGCACTCCAGCCTGGGTAGCAGAGCAAGACCCTGTCTCAAAAAAAAAAAAAAAAAAAGAGAGAGAGAGAAAGAAAGAAAGAGGGCTACATTATTTATGAAACAGATACTGTTAACTCAGTCACCAGAAAGCCTGTGTATAAATGAGCAGTGAGATATTCAAGCACAGCACACACACACTTCTCAGGACAGCTGTCGTGAGTGTTCCATGCTCGTTTCCTTCTGGATACATCAGCAACTCACTCTGCTATGATCCTGCAATACATCTCATGTTAGAATTAGAGACATCTGGGCCAGGCACAGTGGCTGACGCCTGTAATCCTAACACTTTGGGAAGCCGAGGCAGGCAGATCACCTAAGGTCAGGAGTTCGAGACCAGCCTGGCCAACATGGTGAAATGCTGTCTCTACCAAAAATACAAAAAATTAGCTGGGCATGGTGGCGCGCGCCTGTAATCCCAGCTACTCGGGAGCCTGAGGCAGGAGAATCGCTTGAACCCGGGAGGTGGAGGTTGCAGTGAGCCGAGATCGTGCCACTGCACTCCAGCATGGGGGACGGAGCAAGGCTCTGTCAAAAAAAAAAAACAGAAAAAGAAAAAGAAAAAAGAATTAGAGACATCTGGATCAAATCAGCTGCCAGTCTCGCAAAGTGTCGGGTAACATCCTATTAAGCTTGCTGCTTACACATCATCTATAAAATACTGAAAATATCATTTTAAGAAATCTTTTTTTTATTTTGAGACAGAGTTTTGCTCGTTGCCCAGGCTGGAGTGCAATGGTGCGATCTCAGCTCACTGCAATCTCTGCCCCCTGGGTTCAAGCAATTCTCCTTCCTCAGCCTCCTGAGTAGCTGGGATTACAGGCATGCACCACCACGCCTGGCTAATTTTGTATTTTCAGTTGAGACAGGGTTTCTCCATATTGGTCAGGCTGGTCTCGAACTCCTGACCTCAGGTGATCCACTGACCTTGGCCTCCCAAAGTGCTGGGATTACAGGTGTGAGCCACCATGCCTAGCCAAGAAACCCTTATTTTAAAACAAGCCAGGCGCGGTGGCTCATGCCTATAATCCCAGCACTTTGGGAAGCCAAGGCAGGTGGATCACTTGACGTCAGTAGTTTGAGACCAGCCCAGGCAACATGTTGTAACCCCATCTCTACTAAAAATATATTTTAAAAATTAGCTGGGCATGTTGGTGGGCACCTGTAATCCCAGCTTCTCAGGAGGCTGAGGCAGGAGAACCACTTGAACCTGGGAGGTGGAGGTTGCAGTGAGCGGAGATCACGCCACTGCACTCTAGCCTGGGTGACAATAGAAAGACTCCATCTCAAAAACAAAACAAAACAAAACAAAACAAAAAACCACTAAAAAAAAGACTCCATTTCAAAAACAAAACTAAAACCAAAAACACAACACAAATGTAGTACACAAATGAAAATAATTACTGTGTTAAACACAGTTTCATAGAAAATAAAAGACCAATCAAATACAATAAGCTGCCTTTTTAGATGGGTATGTTATTCTTCTTTCACAGCTAAAGAAACAGGCTCAGAGAATGTTATTTGATTGGACCGTGTTGCATTTCTGGACAGTGCAGCTGAGATCAGACTTTGCGTGTAACTCCACTAGCCTACCAGGGTGCCTCTCATAAAGGTAAGAAATGTAAATTTGGCCTAATATACAAAGTTGCCAGGGCAGCACTGGGTCAATTCTACATACAGTACTTCTATGTTCATCAAGGGAAACCTTAAGGGAAAGTGAAAATGCTTCTAGAAGGCGACTGGACACCAGCGCCTTTGCTTGTTGCCTTTGGGCTCTTCTTCTAAGGCCAACAGTGACCTGAAATTATTGACTGGCTTTTCCAATCAAGTGGACAAAATGGTACCAAGGTCACCAACATCGATGTAGAACATTGATGTTCTACAACATTGCTTAACGCAAGGGGAGACGCTCCTGACTCAGAGTGTTTAATTGCTCACCTACTTCTTTTTCTGCCCTCTTGGGCTTCTGAAATGAAAAGAACCCTGGGGTGATACAGTGAGTCAAAGGGGTGCCAGCCGCATCACAGCAAAATAGATTCCTAAAAAATCCCTGGCCTAAGATGACAGCCTTGGCTGGATCAGTTTGAATGTGCTGATAGTGGACATGGTAGAATGAAGGTGGTTGAAATGTTCATATTAAAGAACTTCCACCCAGATTGCAAGAAAAGAGAGAAGAATGGAGACGGCAGCACGAGCCCCTACAATAAAAGCAGATGTTTTGAGATCAGTTATATTTCTTCTGACAAAAATTAAAGACAGAAACCAAAGTTTAGCCTGAGACTACAATTAATTGGGCAATAAGCCAGAGGCACATATGGCATAAGACAGATTTAAACATTTCTCCCTGATATTAATACAAACACTAAAATTACAAATACTTTGATTCCAAATAAAACAAATATTTAAAAAATTTAATGAATAAACACTGGGGTCTACAGTAGTATTTGAAGATCTCACAAACAGGTTTGGTTTTTGAAGGTTAGAACTGGTGGTCTAGAGAATTCATTTCATTCCAGAGAAAGAAAGAGAGGAATTTCTTGGGTTCCTTCAGGAATGCGTCTAGCTTTGCCTCATCTTTGTTTGAACTATGGATACGGCAGAAGAAAACATGAGGATTTCACAGATTTAAGGTGCAAAAAGTCACTGGGTTCTCTAAGAAGTCTGGGATTCTTCTGCTGGAAAAATAAGTTTGTTGAGAAAAAATGAGTTGGAGGAGGCTGTTATTGAAGTGAAGCAGAATTGTTTTTACTAGTCTGCTTATTACCCACTCTGTAGTGTGGAAACAAATTATTCATGCACAAGGTCCTCTTACTGTTCCTAGAATGCAGTGGAAAGAGAACAGATTAGTTTTCCTCCCTCAGAACACAACCCCTAGAAACATCCTACCTCAGATGAGATATTGCCTAATTATTTTCAGAAGACAGTGAAACATCATGGATGTAAATGTTTGCTACAAAATAAATACATGCTAGAAACAGAAGCATCTGGGTCACAGCTATATTAGAGCTACCTGTGTTCCCCTGTCACTGACATTAAAACAAAAATGTCCAATACAATCATTCACAGCGTGGGAGAGGGGAAGTTGAAGGATGGAAAGGCCAGGCATAAAAGGATTTCAGAATTTCCGTCCATAAGGAAGTGGCTTTGTGCACTGTCTGTTACTGCGTGCAAGGTGAAATTTGAAGAATGAAAACGTGCAGTAACAAGGGCTCCTTTGTCCAACTCACCTCTCCAGATACCAACTTTCAGACATGTTGCATTTTAATTGAAAGGTTGATATAATTTTTTTTAAAGAACACTTGCGGTGTTTGAAGTGACAAAGGCTGCTGTGACAAAAAAGCAGGGAAAGGGAATTTTTTTTTAAAAGCAAACAACAACAACAGAAACCCCACAGAAAAGCAAACAACAAACAAACAAAAAACAGAGGAAGTAGTCGAACACCCTGGGCTGTGACTACTTCCAGGAAGGGGCTACAAGAGGCAGTTGGAAATTCTATTTGTTTTGCAACTGTGGGTTTTCCGGCCTGCTTCCTTTCTAAAGCATATTACTCTGCTTTTGGTTCATGAAGTTATCCATTTCTGTTTTCTGGAACAGCTATGTATTTTCTTTATCTATCATCTATCTATCTATTTACCATCTATCTTTTCTACCTTTCGCTATCAAGAGCTTGGGTCAAGCAGGATAGAATTCCAGTGTATGTTCACTCTACCATTTAAAACAAGAGCTCTTGTAGGCATTCTCCATCACATCATAAACCTGAGCTTTCTAAAACAGGGTGTGGCAAACTACCATGCATGGACCATGTCTGACACAGTCTGCATTTGTAAGTAAAGTTGTAATGGGACACAGCCAATACATGTGTTACATAATGTCTCTGGCTACTTTCATGGTATAATGGAAGAGCTGAGTCATTGAGAGAGAGAGACCATATGGCTTGGAAAACTTAAAATATTTAACATTTAGCCCCCTGCAGAAAATACTTGCTGACTCTTGTTTTAAAAGATCTCTGTTTAGAATGCTACCTATTGCGTTCTGGATAGAATCACAACTCTTTACCACAATCGACACAGCTTCAGCCCTGCTTCTATATCCAGCCTCATCTATTTCTGCTCCTCCTCCTTATTTTCCTTCTGGCCATGCTGATGGATTGTCAGCTTCCCAGATGTGCAAGAATCTCTCCTCCCTTCCCAACATTCTCATGCTCTCCCTCTGCCTCTGAAGAACTTCCTGCCCCATCTCTCATGACAAATCCTTTCTACATTCTTTAAGATGCAGCCCCTTTGCTCCTTCCTTAAGGATGTCTGTCTGGCTCTATTTTGGGTGACGTGCTCCTTCTGCATCTCCCAGAGCCAGCCTGTGTGTGTCAGCTACAACATTTCTTTGCATCTCTGTGTCATATATCACCAAATCTGCCTAAGCTTGCATGAGTCACTGCATGACAACTTCAGACTCCACCAGCATTGTCCCCACTAACCACAAGGCTTAGACATTCGTCCAGTATGCTCGGGGTTGTGGGGTGGTAGCAGTAACCGGCTGGTGACCATCATTTCTTACATCAGAATCAAATCTGTAGATCTCTGCCATTCATAAGTATTTGGAGTTTAAAATTAGCATAAAGATTTTCCTTAAAATAAGAACAAATGGCTTGAGTAGGCTTTTGGAACACAGGATGTTTCCACTGGTTCATTTCTGTGTTCAATATTCCCACATGAATCTAAACACGGCTCTGCTCTTAGTAGCTATGTGACCCTAGGAAAGTCACTCAATCTCCCTCAGCTAAATTTTGTTGTGTGAGTAATGAGGAGAGAGTTGTGATTTGTATTTAGTGAAAAATAACAAACAAAAGGCATTTAGATTTCTGGAACCTGGTATGTAGTAGAACCTCATGAAATACTAGCTCTGTTGAAAAAACTAGACTGAAAGAAGCTTACAAAGTCAACAAGAGTTTGAAGCAGTGAAGGACTTAGAGGAGGAGCTGCTGCTGCAGCCTGTAGCTCCTGGAAGCCCGTTTTGTCCATGATTTAGCAGGAATGCATTACCCTTCCATGAGGAGGCACTGCCCACAGAAACCAAGGCCATTCTTTGAAGACAAACATGTCTTAATAGCCTTTACATTATGTAATAGTGTAATACAAATAATAATTTATTATAATAATGTGAAATTATTTACAGTACCCTAACCCTAACCCTAACCCCTAATCCTAACCCTAACCCTAACCCCTAACCCTAATCCTAACCCTAACCCTAACCCTAACCCTAACCCCTAACCCTAACCCGAAAACCCTAACCCTAAAACCCTAACATAACCCTTACCCTTACCCTAATCCTAACCCTAATCCTTACCCTTACCCTTACCCTGACCCTAACCCTAATCCTTACCCTTATCCTACCCCTAACCCTTAACCCCTAACCGCTAGCCCTAACCCTTAACCCTAACCATAACCCTAACCCTCATCCTCATCCTCACCCTCACCCCTAACCGTAACCCCTAACCCAAACCCTAACCCTGAACCCTAACCCTAAACCCAACCCAAACCCTAACCTGAACCCTAACCCGAACCATAAACCTGAACCCTAAATCCGAACCTGAACCCGAACCCTAACCATAACCCAAACCCGAACCCAAACCCTAACCCCTAACCCCTAACCCTAACCCTACCCTAACCCAACCCTAACCCAACCCTAACTCTAGCCCTAGCCCTAGCCCTAGCCCTAAGCCCTAAGCCCTAAGCCTAACCCCAACCCCAACCCCAACCCTAACCCTAACCCTAACCCTTCCTCAGCCTCTCAACCTGCTTGGGTTATAGGTATGAGCCCGGGTGCCTGGCCAAACATTCCATTTTATATGTATATGCTAGGAATGAATAATCTCTACACCAAATTATGAAAATTCTACCTTAAACAATACCAATAGCAATATTATACTTAGGAATAAATGGAATGAAACGACAAGACTTAGATGAGGGAAATTATAAGACATTACTTAAGGAAATTAAACTTCCAGTAAATGTAAAAATGTATCTTATTTGTGGATTTGTAGACCACATTGTTAAGTTTCCCAAAGTACACAAAGCAATCCGTGGATTCGATGTTATTCCTACAAAAATCCCAAAGGCCTTGGGACAGAAGTGGATAAGCTGATCCTGATCACATCCCAATTTCAAATTTTATTACAAAGGAACAGTAATAAAAACAGTGGGATCCTTGCACAGGAATAAACAGAAAGATCAACTGAATTGAATTGGGAGTCCAGACAGAAAACAATACCTCTATGCTCAACTGATTTTAGACAAGGTCCATTACCAGTAAATTGGGGAAAGAATCCTGTCCTCAACAAGTGATGTAAGGCAACTTGCTATCCACATAAAGGGAAATGAAATTGTATCCTTACCTCATACCACATAAAAAATTAACTTACAATGGATCAAAGACCAAAACAGGTGAAAACTAAAAACTCTGGAAGAAAACGTACAGTTAAGCATTCATGACCTTACACGTAGCAATAGTTTCCTACATCTGACACCAAAAGCACAGACCACAAAAGGAAAAATAAATCAATTTATTTCCTCAAAATTCACAACTTTTACGTCTCAGAAGACATGAAGAAAAAAGTTGAAAGACAAAATGTTATAATAGGAAAAACAACTGTCTTATAGTATACTCTCAACACTCACAGAACACTTCTGTTACCAGATACATGGGTTTTTTCCCCACACAGACCAAATCTTGGGTACCAGCTGCGTGTCCTACAGTGCAATCCAATTGTGACAGTAAATGGAGAAAGCATCAGACCCCACAGGCTAAGGGCTCAGTCCTAGGAATACACGTCATGCCCCTTGTCGCTTGCAAATTTAAATGACAAACACAAGGATGGTAAAAAGAAAGTGACTTTATGCCAGAGCTTAGCTGAAGGGAACATACAGGCTCTTGCCTTAAGGGAAGCGCTTCCACTTTCTGGGCAGAAAGCTGGGCTTTCGGACTTGCCAGAATGGCATGCAGGGGATGAGGTGAGGAGGTGCGGGGTCTATGGGACATGCTCTGATGTTTTCTCCATTAGGTGGTCTTGCTAGCACCACCACGGGCAGAGCCAGGTTGTAAATTGACTGTTGTCTGCTGCCAATCTACTGGTGGGGGAGAGATATGGAAGTGCCAGTTTGTTTCAAGGTTTGGTCCCTGGAACTTATAAGTAATCACACAGTTGGAAAAGTTTGCAGTATAGGAAGTGTCTGGTGGAGAGACAGTAAAGCTTATAATTGCATTCCTAAAGAGCTAAGTGCAGGAACAGCAAAATGGTAAAACGAATTCATTTCTTCTTTAAGAAAATATGGGTACTAAGTTACAAGACTGTAACCACTTAAGATGCCAACCACAAACAGTAGGTTCCCAGGTTACCTTCTGTCTGACTTTCCTACAGATTGGAGACTCCCACAACACCCTTATTGGGTTCAGCAATTTGCTACATCACATTACACAACCCATGAAAGCAGTGTACTTACTATTCCTGACTCATTACCAAGGATCTTTTAAACACTACAAATGAAAAGCCAGATGAAGAGATGCACAAGGTGAGGTATATGGAAGGAATGCAGGCCTCCCATGCCCTCGCCAGATATGATCCTCCCAGTATCTCTTGTGTTGGGAGAGCAACACAGATGCTCTCCCAACCCTGTCCTTTATTACACAGGCAGATTGGTTACGTCTGTGGCCATAGGTGATCAACTCAACCATCAGCACCTCTCCCCTTCACAGAGACGGGACGGGGGAAGAAATTTCAAATTCTCTCATGACAAGGTTGCTTCCCTTGGCAGCCAGCCCCACTGAGGCTGTCCAGGTGCCCCCAGCCATCAATCATTTCATTAGCGTACGAAAGACACATTACTTCGTACATTCCCAAGGCTTAGCGCTCTGTTTCAGGACACTGCAGCAGAGACCACACATTAACTCTTATTACGTTCCAACAACCTATAAAACGGAAGAAAATGTCTGCACATTAGATACTTCATCAGTGTCTGTTATCCAGAATGTATAAAGAACTTTTACAACTCCATAGCAAAGACAACCCAATCTAAAAATTGACAAAAGACACACTTCACCAACAAGCACATGAAAAGATGCTTAACATCATTACCATAATTAAAACCATAAAGAGATAACCCTTAACTCACACAAGAATAGTTATACTAAAAAATAACAAGTGTTGACAAAGATGTGCAGAAACTTGAACTCTTAAACACTGCTTGTGACAATATGAAATGGTGCAGCCTACGTGTAAAATAATTTGATGTTTCCTCATAAAGTTACAAATAGATTTACCATATGAGTTAATGATTCCATTCCTAGGTATATACCCCAAAGACCTGAAAACAACTGTTCAAACAAAAACCTGTATGCTCTTTAAATGTGTCAAGGTCATAAATATGCAGGAAAGTCTGGGGAACAGTTCCAGGAAAAGAAAACTGGATCCTAATAAAAAAAAAAAAAAAAAACACATTATACTCCCAAGTGTGGCATGAGGTAAAACTGAAGTGAGTTTGTGGACCGAATTATCATGTAGGAACAACGCTGATTTCCTGATCTAGGGGTTATGTGGTAGTTACCTGGGAGAGTGTCCATGCTTTCAGTACAATATACCGGAGTATTTTGTGGGACACTGCAAATCTGGTACAGCAATAACTGTTGGGGAATCTAAGGGAAGAAACAAGCTGTACTTTGTACTACTACTGGAAGTTGCCTAGACATATGACATTATTGGAAAATAAGTTACTTTTTAAAACAACCATGTCAATACCATGCCAGGAAAGCAGACACATCATCAAAATCCATTACAGAGGCTATAGTTCAGCCAAAGCTGTAAAACCCTTAACAAAGTCTCAATGTCAACAGAGTCCACTTAGTAGATATTATTATATTTATTAGTATTAGAGGCCATTGTGTCAATATATTAGTGTTAGGGCATGGTATGGATATTTAGATTAGTGTTAGGGAACGGTGTGGATATTGTATTGGTGTTGGGGAATGGTGCAGATATTACATCAGTGTTAGGGCATGGTGTGGATATTATTGCATTAGTATTAGAAGAGATGGTGTGGATTAGATCAGTGATAGGGCATGGTGTGGATATTATTACATTAGTATTGGAAGCGATGGTGTGGACTAGATCAGTGATAGGGCATGGTGTGGATATTATTACATTAGTATTGGAAGCGATGGTGTGGATTAGATCAGTGATAGGGCATGGTGTGGATATTATTACATTAGCACTGGAAGCGATGGTGTGGACTAGATCAGTGATAGGGCATGGTGTGGATATTATTACATTAGTATTGGAAGCGATGTTGTGGATTACATCAGTGTTAGCGCATGGTGTGAATATTATATAGGTGTTAGGGCACGGTGTAGATATCATAGTAATGTAGAGCACAGTGTGATTATTATATTAGAGGCCACTGTAAGAATATATATTAGCAGCCACTGTGTCTTGGACGTTGACAATGATATTAGGGTGTACTCCAAATAGTGAGATTTGGGGGCTTTATTTTTCTAGATGAATTTCTTCCTCTGCTGAGTGCTCTAAAGACTCACTCCTTGGCACTCAGGGCCGTGGACAGGAGCTTTTTACTCACCAATGAAGAACACCAAATTAACACGACCCCCGTGCTGCCCTGAGGAAGTTGAAGCTCCTCGCTGCTTCTGGCACTTCAGCGGGAAGTTGGTTGGGGCGGGATCGCGCGCCCTCTGGTGGCGCCATGGTTCAGCACAGACGCTCTTGCTCACAGTTTCTCGGCGGATGTGCGCCCCCTCCTGGCTGTCCTGAAATACCTATAAAATTCAATATTCAGTTTATTCAGTGTCATAATTTTGGAAATTCAAACCGAAATAAAGGCCAGTATATCCATACCCTTCCCATAAATGGTGATGGAAGAATTATTTGGAAGCCATATAGAATGAAATGACTCTATACACAAAGTAAAACACAAAAACCTACTCAAAATAGTCCAGAGACTACAACTTCAAATGCAAAACTATAAATAATCTAAAAGAAAACCTAAGAGACATTGGATCTGGTGTTGAGTTTTAACACACAGCATCAAGTGCCAATTCGTGAAAATACTGAGAACAGACTTTATAAAACTAAATTTTCTACTATGAAAAACCCTATTCAGAGAACAAAAAGACAAGACACACTGTCAGAAGATATTTACAAAATACAAACGTGATTTTAAAAACTGTATTGAAAATACACAAAGAACTCTTCAAACGAACACTAAGAAAACTAAAAACCCAAATAAAACTGGGTAAATATCTGAACAGACATCCAGCCAAAGAAAATATATAGATAGCAGGCCAGGTGTGGTGGCTCATGCCTATAACCCCAGCACTTTGGGAGGCTGAAGCGGGTGAGTCACCTGAGGTCAGGAATTTGAGATCAGCCTGGCCAACATAGTGATACCCCCTCTCTACTAAAAATACAAAAAAATTAGCCAGGCATGGTGGTGGGTGCCTGTAATCCCAGCTACTTGGGAGGCTGATGCAAGAGAATTGCTTGAACATCGGAGGTGGAGGTTGCAGTGACCCAAGATCACGCCACTGCACTCCAGCCTGAGTGACAGAACGAGACTCTATCTCAATAAAATAAAAAAAAAAAGAAAATATACTGATAGCACATAATCACACAAAAGGATGCTCAATATATCTCATTAGGAGACTGCAAATTAAAATAATGCTGAGATATCACCGCACACCTAGTACAACTGTGGGACTCTTAAAAAAGCTCAACAGTAACAATTGGAGGTTGAAGAACAATAGGTACGGCCATTCATTACTGGCAGAATGCATGAATGGGTACAGCCACTTTGGGAAATAGTTTGACAGTTTTTCCCAAAGATAAACAAGTGTTACCTTACAATCCAACAAATGCACCCCTAAATTGTGTATGTTTAGACAGCTGCTTTGAAAAATTATGTTCAAACAAAAACTAGCATGTAATTATATACGAGCCACTCTACTCATAATGGCCAAAACTTGAAGTAGTCAGAACGTTCTTCAATAGCTGAATGCATAATCAATTTGAAGTACAACCATGCAATGGAATACCATTCACCAACAGAAAGGAATGAACTGTCAATCCATGAAAACAAATGAATGAATCTTGCATCTATGTTGCTAAGTAAAGGGTGGCAGTATGAAGATGCTATACATTATATGACTCCATTCATATAACATTCTGGAAAAAGCACAACCAAAGAGATGATAGTCAGATCAGTGACTGTCTGGGGTGGGGATTTGAAGTATTCTGTATGCTACTTCAGTAGTGGATATCTGACACTATGCATTTGATAAAACCCACAGAATTTTAATGCACAAAGAACAAATCACAAGCTACACAAATTAAATTATTTAGGATGTGGAAGTATATAAGGACAAAATACAGAGTGCAACCAAGAATCTAACTGTATTACCAATGTATGTTGCAAGTGGTGGGCCAAAGGTGCTGAGCTGGAAATGAGTAGAATCCATACACTAAAAACAAAACGTACTATATACACGAACAGTGGACTCTATTTTATAAAGTTATTTCCCATAGGGATAATAGTTAATTTTGAAACTACTATATCTGTAAAAAGAAAAATAACCATGATTTTCCTCTATACTATCAACACTCCACTTTTAACAGCAAATTGTGGGGGGTGGGGGGTGTTTCCCATACCAACCAATATTCCAACTCTCTGGAAAACAATTGGGTATCCTGTAATTCAACTGTGACACTGATTACCTGGAGTTAGTATACACCCTACAGGTTAAGGGCTTAGTAACACCAGACTGTCCACAACCTCAGATGCCAATCACAAGTTGTGAATCCCCAGTTTACCCAAACTTCTATATGACTTGGCTAGAAACTAGGCATTCCTACACCCCCTCTTCAGGTTTGACAATTTGCTATGATGGCTTATGGAACTAGGAAATACTTACTTATGTTTACTAGTTATTATGGTCTCAATGTGTGTACACCCCCACCCCAAATTCCTATTTTGAAATGTAATCCCCAAAGGGATGGTATTCAGAGGTAACCGAGAGGTGATCGGATCATGAGAGTGCTGTCCTCATGAATGAAACCAGTGCCCTTATAAAAGCATCTAGGAGCCCGTTTCCCCATTCTGCCATGTCACGACATGCTAGAAGGCACTATCTATGATAGATGAGCCCTCACTAGACATCAAATCTGTCAGCCTTGATCTGGAACTTTCCAAATTCCATATTTTAGGAATTTTTATGGAAGCTTCATCATGTAGACATGACGGATTATTAACTCAATTTCCAGTCCCTTCACACCCTCAAAGGATTGCATGTTAAGCTAAAAGTTACAACCTTCTTATCATGGCTTGGTCTTTCTGGTGACCATCCCCATCCTGAAACCATCCAGGAACCCACAGAGTGTCCTTATTAGAACAGAAGCCATTCCTATTATCCAGGAGATTCCAAGAGATTTAGGAACTCTGCGTCAGGAACCAGGGCCAAAGACCAAATATTAGAACACAAGATGCTCCTAGCACCCCTACTGTTCAGGAAATTATAATAGTTTTAGAAGCTCTGTACCAGGAACTGCAGACACAGACCAAACATATATTTCTTATTAAGTCCCAACCTGGAATCTTGATCAAGAATGAATTCCTTGTTCCCAATGGTACAAGGGATGAAATAAATGGCAGATAGTAGGAGCCAGGTTCCTCATTATTACAGTGAGAAGTTACAGATAAAAAATAGGGAAGCCTAGAATGATCTCGGTCATAATGAGTCAGAATGTATATATACAACGTAAGTATAAACTCACATTCAGGTTCCTCACTATTACAGCGAGAAGTTACAGATAAAAAATAGGGAAGCCTAGAATGATCTCGGTCATAATGAGTCAGAATGTATATATACAACGTAAGTATAAACTCACATTCAGGTTCCTCACTATTACAGCGAGAAGTTACAGATAAAAAATAGGGAAGCCTAGAATGATCTCGGTCATAATGAGTCAGAATGTATATATACAACGTAAGTATAAACTCACATTCAGGTTCCTCACTATTACAGCGAGAAGTTACAGATAAAAAATAGGGAAGCCTAGAATGATCTCGGTCATAATGAGTCAGAATGTATATATACAACGTAAGTATAAACTCACATTCAGGTTCCTCACTATTACAGCGAGAAGTTACAGATAAAAAATAGGGAAGCCTAGAATGATCTCTGTCATAATGAGTCAGAATATATATATACAACGTAAGTATAAACTCACATTTAGCTTAACATATACATAGATGGTTCCACATAGAAACCTTTATAATTAAGTGGGTACATATAAGTTAGAAGACACACATATATTTCTTTGCACTGTCAGCTGTAAGTGTCATGATGCAATGACCACATTTAGTGGCCAGATGTAAGTTTTTCATACCATTCTCTAACAAAAGAAATCAGGGCTATTAGAAGAAATAGCTGAAACTAGGACTGGGACAGAAAATATATGAGCCAGGGTACTTTTGAAGTAACAGAAATAAATTATAAAAAAAACATGAAATTATGTAAAAGGAGCCAGTGGAAAGAGCTACCAATGGCCACAGGTATGAACAAAGAGCAACAAAATACTGTACAATTAGATAACAACCAAAAGATTAAAGTAACTATCTGTGGACCCATACTGGTATAAATAAATGATTAAACAGATATGCAAATGGGCTGAATAGAAATCTCTTATACAGAAGAATTCCAAATACCTGATACAGACAGCCATCAAGGAGGTGGGGCTAACTCCCCACTCCTTTAAGTATGAGCTCTGCATGATGACTTCCTCCAAAAGCATACATACAATATAGACATGGGAAAAAAGTAACTTTACAGTGAAAAACCTGAAAACACTGCCTCAACCAAGTGATAAAAGTTAACATTAATGGTGATAACACATCTTGAGAGCATGAAGTGACTAGACTAGCACTTGCAAACCAAAAATAAAATTCAAAGATCTTTCCCCCAACCACCTCTCCACCAGGGGACACCAAAGTTAACCTGGAAGACTGGTTCAGGCTATGATGGGAAAGAGGTGGTCAGACATGCCTCATTATGCCCTCCTCCCTTTTGGAATTCAGGAAAAGCCAATCAGCATTTAACATCAACACAACCTTAAATCTGATAAGAAACATTTACAATCTATTCTCTCTGAAGCCTGCTACCTGGAAGCTTCATTTCCATGATAAAACCTTGGTCTCCATAACCCCTTATCATAACCCAGACACTCCTTTCTATTGATAGTAAGTCTTTCAACAAACTGCCAATCAGAAAAATTTTAAATGTACCTATAACCTGGAAGCCCCCCCCCCCACCCTAATCCATTGGGTTGTCCCACCTTCCTGGACCGAACCAATATATATCTTAAATACACTTGATTGATGTCTCCTATCTCCCTAAAATGTATAGAACCAACCTGCACCCCAACGACCTTGGGCACATGTTCTCAGGGTCTCCTGAGGGCTGTGTCAAGGGCCATGGTCACTCATATTTGGCTCAGAATACATCTCTTAAAATATTTTACAGTCTTTGACTCTTTGTGTGGACACACTACACATCTGCTCTGCTTCCCCCAAACCCCTAAACCCAGGCTGATTATGAGAAAAACCCCAAGTAAACCACAATGGAGGACATTCTACACAATACCTGACCAATCCTCCTAACACTGTTCCAGGTCCTCAGAAGTAAAGTCTGAGAGATTGTCACAGCCAAGAAGAGCCTGACATGATGACTAAATGTCCTATGGGATCCTAGATAGGATCCTGGGAGAGAAAAAGGCAGAACTAAGGGAAACCAAATAAGATGTGAGCTTATTTAATAATATAGTAATATCCAGTCATTAAGTATGACAAGAAATGATGTAAGATGTTGGTCAGGAGTGGTGGCTCATGCCTGTAATCCCAGCACTTTGGGAGGCTGAGGCAGGCGGATCACCTGAGATCAGGAGTTCAAGACCAGCCTGGCCAACGTGGTGAAACCTCATCTCTACTAAAAATACAAAAATTAGCCGGGCATGATGGCAGGCACCTGTAATACCAGCTACTCAGGAGGCTGAGGCAGGAGAATCGCTTGAACCTGGGAGGCGGAGGTTGCAATGAGCCGAGATCACGCCACTGCACTCCAGCCTGGTTGAGACTCTGTCTGAAAAAAAAAAAAAAAAAAAAAAAGATGTTAAACCTATCTGATACATGTTGGTATGTTAAAAAGCGGGGAAACTAGGTTGCGTCTACATGGGAAATCTGCATTTTCTTCCCAATTTCTGTATGAATCTAAAACTAATTTAAAATAAAACCTCTATTTAAAAATTGTAATTTTTTCAGATATCTGCTAAATTATTTGTACTAAAAATTAGTAATTGACAGTAACTACTCCTACTTTTAAAAATAAGAGCATTCATGATACTGCAAAGTAAATTATACAGACTAATATATACTTTCAAAGAAATGCCCCTTTTACATGTTTTATGTTAAGATAACATATATGTGTAAACATGGTCATATCATTTTCCTTATGGTGTAGTTCACTCTCTAAGAAAGCTGGTCATCTTAGAACCAGGGAAAAAAATTCACATTTTGGAGACTATTTCAATTTACGGCTGGACGTTTTCAAAGTATGACTCTGCGAAAAAAAAAAAAGTTCAAATTGATTCATTGTGACTGGATCACTTATTCTAATGAATGCTTGCCTTTATTTTGTTTCCCAGCATTCCTTTCAGCTACGATACAAAAGAAGCAAATATTTGCCACTGGAAAAAATATTCAAAGACACTCTTAGGTTAATCTATAGCTGATGACAGTCAGTCTAGTCTACATAGCAAGCAGCTTCAAGATATGATTACTTAGCTAAGCGGGAAATGGGACGTGACTGCTGCCTCATTCCCACGCCTCTCTGGACCTGATAATTTAGAGGAAGCTCACATTCGCAAGATAAAAATTTTCTTTTCCTTCTCAGTATTAAATATGCTGTCACAATAGAAGAAAGCTTTACTGACTTCTTAAATGACGTGTTGAGACCGGAACCCTAAAATGATAGTTACTGAGGATAGTGCTAATGCCCTAAGACCGGAAACCTAAAATGATAGTTACTGAGAATAGTGCTAATGCCCTAAGACCGGAAACCTAAAATAATAGTTACTGAGAATAGTGCTAATGCCCTAAGACCGGAACCCTAAAATGATAGTTACTGAGAATACTGCTAATGCCCTAAGGTTTTAGTCACACCCTCACCTAGGCAGGAACCCAACCAAAAGGGGAGAACTGTGGAACAAACTACGGGAGGTCATTGTTTCGGTCACCACTCCCGCATTAGGCCACACTGAGCAGGCAAAACCAGAATGGAGACACTCACGCTGAATGACACACAACGAAGCTGAAACTTTAAGGAAGTAGACAGATCCCAAAAGAGCTCCCTTTTTCCCTGAAGAGATTCCAGTCTACCTGAGTCAGCATAAAGAAGTCCCCTCTGCTTTAATTCTTACCAAAACAAGTAACTTGAAGTAATCTGATGTTAACAAATCAGTTGTTATTTTCTATTGCTCTATTTCCGCCTTACACAACACAGTGTTCTGCTATTGCCCAGAGGGCACTGAGACCAAATAAAACTTGAAAATGCCACACTGAAAGCAAATAAGTACTAATAACTCAATTTACAACGATAACAAAGAGTGACACCAATGCCCAAAGTTTTGATCAATATCTCAAAATTGAGAGGCTGACCAAAAGGGAGGAATTCTTACATCAAACAACATTTGGGCTCTAGAAGCCTCCCAAGGAGTCCTTGTAAAGAGTCGCGGCCGGGCGCCGTGGCTCACGCCTGTAATCCCGGCACTTTGGGAGGCCAAGACGGGTGGATCATGAGGTCAGGAAATCGAGACCATCATGGCTTACAAGGTGAAACCCAGTCTCTACTAAAAAAAAATACAAAAAAATTAGCCGGACTTGGTGGCGGCAGCCTGCAGTCCCAGCTACTCGGGAGGCCGGGACAGGAGAATGGCATGAACCCGGGAGGCGGAGCTTGCTGTGAGCTGAGATCGCGCCACCGCACTCCAGCCTGGGCGACAGAGCGAGACTCCGCCTCAAAAAAGAAAAAAGAAGAAGAACAAGAAGAATCGCAACCTAATTTAGTATAGAAACAAACTGTAAATCTGACTTGGGAATGTATCATGGTAACAAATAGCGGCGGTTCAGCCAATCACATCAGCCGAGTGTCAGTCAATGGCCGGCAGCCAGCTGTTCAAAACAAGTTCCAAGAAGGCAAATCCGGGCTGTAACCAGGTCTGTAACCAATCCAGCCACCTCTATACCTCACTTCTGTTTTCTGTATGTCACTTTTTTTCTCTGGCTATAAATATAACCCGCACATGTTGTGTGGCAGATCATTCTGAACCATTTTTGGTCTGGACTGCTGCCTGATTCTAGAACCACAAAAAAAGCCAATTAAGATCTGCAAACCCACATTTGTTGTAATTTTGTATTTTAACAGTTGTGCCCTACAAAAGACATTAAGCTGAAATTAATTAAAAATCATTTACGGTCATGATTAGGTCATAAAAAATTGTCAAACATAACAATTCTTCAAAAAAAGCTAAAAAGTATATTTTAAAAACATTGTTGATGGAAAAAAGAGTGCAAAAGTAGATAGGAAAATTATGTACAAAACTAAAAACAGAGGAGAAATTAAAAGTCAAATAATTGCATCAAACTGGAAACCTAGAAAAAATGGGTGATTTCCTAGTAAAAATACACATTAACAAAATGGGCACTGAAATAAGGCAACTATGAATATACCAATTAGCATAGAAAAGCTAAGAAAGGTCCTTAAAGATCTCCCAGTGGAAAAAGGCCCCAGGACCATCTGGGTCCATAGCTTAGTGTAAGCTGACTTAACTAAATGTGATTTTACACTCGTGCATTGCATACATACGATGGTGGTCCCATGAGATAAAAATGGAGCTGAAAAATTCCTTCCTAGCCATCTTGTCATAAGCTCATGGCTCAACGCATTACCTTTTCTCTGTTCTGATACCATGAAAGGAAAATAAATCTCAGGACCCCCAAATCACTAAGCCAAGGGAAAAGTCAAGCTGGGAGCTATGTCAGGCAAACCTGCCCTCATTCTATTCCTAAGATAGCTACAAAGATAAAAAGCTACATACCTCACTCACAATTTGCCCACAAAGAATTTCCTTTTGGACAAAGGACAGACAGCACTCAAAGTCATCCCTCACCTGAGACAGATGCATATCTGATTGCTTCCTCTGCCCTATTATTTATGTAAAAATGCAGATTCATTGAGCCAGACTAAATTGTGTATTCAGTGGAAGGCTGATGAAGGATTCAAAAGAATGCAACCTTTTGTCTCTAACCTACTTCTGACCTGGAAGCACCCCCACTTCCTGCTTCCAGTTGTCCCGCCTTACTGGGCCAAATGACTGTACATCTTACACGTCTCATGTATCCCTAAAATGTACAAAAGCAAGCTCTACCCTGGCCACCTTGGACACACGTCGTCAGGACCTCCTGAGGCTGTGTCATGGGCGTGTCCTTAATCTTGGCAAAATAAGCTTTCTAAATTGACTGAGACCTGTCTCAGATATTCTGGGATCACAATCTACAATCACCATGGTGTTATGGTTGACTACAGCATTCAGTACAGAGACATGCTGTACAGGTTCGTAGCCTGGGAGCAATAGGCTATACTATGTAACTTAGGTGTGGAGTGGGCTACACCATCTAAGTTTTATAAGGACACTCTACAGTGTTCACACAAAGATGAAATCACCTAAGGACAGATTTCTCAGAAAGTATAACATCGTTACGAGATGCCTGAGTGTATTTTAAATGGTCAAAGCCTAGGAGAAAAAAAGAAACTTAACTCTTGTTATGGGTTAATAACGAAGCTTAAGAGAGTTAACATATTTCATCTAATCTAAGATGCCAATGATTAAAAGACATTACTTTATGCACCATCACAAATAGGTTGCCAATTAAACCGACTTTCTGAATAACACACAAATGTGAATTTACTTCTATTAATGCCAGGAAAGTAAAATGAAAAATAAATTATGGTTTTGACATGTTAAAGCAAATACGGCGGGGGTTAGCCTGAGGCCTTCCCTAAGCAAACAGAAACCGAACTTGGAGGCATTTGAACTGACTTAAAAAAATTAACAAACCAACCACAGTCAATGCCAAAAAGCCCAGCAGCCAGTTGGCTGTATGACTAGGGACGCTGAGGGAACCATCCCCACAACAGGCGGTGGCCTAGCTGGAGCCACTGAGGAGCCTCACTTAGGGGCCACCCTAAGAGCTCGAAGCCCCATCCGTTCTGGTGCTTCCTGCGTGATTCATGAACCATTCCTTTGCCGAAATAAACTCCGCTTAAATTTATTTTACCTAAAATCCTTTTAACAGACAAAGTCCAGTATTTACACTTAAAACACGGTTGTGAAAACTCACATCTACATCTGCTCTTCAATATTTTTCAAGTACTTTAACACTCTAAGAAAAACGAGCCACTGGAACGCAAATAAAAGCAAGTCGTGGGGTGCGCGTCTCCCTGGGGCTCTCCATGTTGCCCTCAGGGTTTCTCCCTTCTCTGTCCCGGATCCACCCCAAACAAACCCAAATTGGTCAAAAATTAAAAAATGAAACAACTCAGGTATGCTGTAATAATGAATAACAAAGCCACTTAATGATGGGCCACTTTGTAAAATAAAATAAATACAACTTGAGAAAGTGGAGCGCGAGGCAGCGCGGCCTCCTCCGCACTGAGCCGGGACAGAAAGCTTTTTCCTCACCTTTCCTCGGGCAGCCTCGGGGACCATGAAGCCACAGCTTCCCCAGTCGTTCCTGAGGAGCTGAGGAGAAGGAGGCTGGGTCGTCCCTGGCCACGGTCCCCAGGTGTTCCTAGAGAGCCAGCGGCGTCTCCCGAGTGGGTCCTGAGGAGGAGGAGGCTGGGCCCTCTCAGGTGTCCCTGTAGGGATGACGGCGCCTCTTGCGTAGGTCCTGAGGAGACGGCTCGGCTCCGCCCCCTGGAGCCGCAGGCCGTCTGTGCCGGAACCCGGGCGCCGCTTGAGGTTCTGTGAGGCGGCATCGCGCCCCCTGACGGCCGTCGCAGGCGGTGCAGGATGCTCAGGTGCTCGCGGTCGAGCTGTGGCCTCGCCCCTCCGGTGGATCTCCGAAGTTCACTGTTCTGACAATTACACGCCATGACTTTTGAAAAACCAGCTGAGGCCGGGCGCGGTGGCTCACGCCTGTAATCCCAGCACTTTGGGAGGCCGAGGCGGGCGGATCGCGAGGTCAGGAGATCGAGACCATCCTGGCTAACACGGTGAAACCCCGTCTCTACAAAAAACAAAAAAACAAAAAAAAATTAGCCGGGAGTGGTGGCGGGCGCCTATAGTTCCAGCTACTCGGGAGGCTAAGGCAGGAGAATCGCTTGAACCCGGGAGGGGGAGGTTTCAGGGAGCCTCCTCTAAACAGAAAAGACCGACCCCTAGTCAGTGTTTTATTTTCCCTGATGACCGCAGGCCATGAACTTATGGAACAATAACGTAATTAGGCTCTTGGACCCAGGGAAGTAGCTCCATGCCACCTGCCCTCATTTGCTGAGCATTTTGGTTTCTCGGATCTGCTACTCAGTTTCCAGTCTCCTCCTCCCTGCCAATGCTGCCAGCGTGCCTCTTCTGCAAGCAGCAACCGCCTTCCACCTTCCATTCTCTACTCTTTAGCCATCATCTGGCTGGACTTTTCAGAATGGACTGCAAAGGAGAATAAACTGGCTGAGTCTGAGGGTGCACTCACGTGCAAAGTTGCAAGCTTTAATGTACCCATCTTGGCAGATTTTGGCTCCTTAGAGTTCTTTCTCATTTGGGGATCTCATGTGCCCTCTGATGAGGTGGGCTCACTGACTGTCTGCGCTGGTGGCATCTGGCAGCACCTTGTCACGTGCACCTAGGTAAGAACCTGGCTGCACCTGATGCTTAGCCAAACGGGGAACCCACAGTTCTGTGTATCAGGTGATGTTTAATCTCTGGAGGTTAATGAACGTGAGGGAGCGATACTGTCTGGGACTCTCCACATATTGCGTCTGAGTCACTGAAGGAAAAGAATGTGGGGTCTGTTTGCTGGGACTGGACACCTCCATAATCACATGCTCCATGAAATGCAGGCAGGAGATCTCGCTTTCTACCTCTGGGATGGGAGTGTGCAGTTTCAGAATGAGACTAGCCCACACAACTGACTATTTGGGAAAGAGAAATGAAATCAGATGCAGCAATTTAATATCCACTAAGATGATATCTTAATCACAAACACTCTTCTGGTTTTTAGAAATGTGAATGTTATTTACACTAGGTTAAAAAACCTGAATATCCAACAGCATGACACCGACTAAAGAAATACTGGCGCACTCTGGAACCTTGCACACCACTTATTGGCATGGGAACAATGGGAACACGCCTATGCAAAGATGTGCATGGAAATTAGAAGAATGCAACACTGTAGAACAGATGTGACTAGGTGCATGATCAAGAGCACACAAGACCAAGCCTGCCTCTGCACACACAAGACAGCGCCTGAGTCTGCACCACGTGACGGGACCACTGTGGAGCAAGCCTGGGAGATTCTGATGTAGGCAGCAGAGGCGTCACTTAGGGACCAGACTTCCGTGGGAAACCACCATCTCCTTCCAACCCAGATGCGCTTCATGGCAAACGCGAGCAGATGAAGGTCATGTAGGAGACGAAAGAACTCGCTCCCCAAGCCCATAGGCCTTTGTCCTCCACCCATGGACCGAAGCATCTTGTTAGATGAGGGCCGCCCGCAGCCAGGGCCGGCGGAGAACCTGCCACGGAGCAGGTGTCCGTAAAGAACTGCTGACTGTCACTGTCCCTACTTGGGGGCCACTGGGGGATCTGATGCATCTCACTACC
Source organism: Homo sapiens (assembly GCF_000001405.40). Lineage (NCBI taxonomy): Eukaryota > Metazoa > Chordata > Mammalia > Primates > Hominidae > Homo > Homo sapiens. Next base: position 33,196 of record NC_000007.14, read on the forward strand.
CTTTGTAAAGGAATTATTGAAAATGTCAGCCCTCTAACAAGGCATAGGTTGATTAGTTACAGGATTTAACATTTCTATTTTAAAAGGCAGCATTGAAGAATGTCTTTACAAAGGCTGTACAAAACCTGCCATATTCTTTGTCACACAGATTGACTCATGTGCAATGCAGCCATTTCATGAAACACTGGCATTTACCAGATGTAAACTTATTAGCAGACGACAACTAGAAATAGTGTGCTGGATGTGCCCGTTTATTTATATGAATATAACCATCTCTCTAGATGCATCGAAAGATACACAACATGAGATCCACTTTATTTCTACAAGTTTATGATCAGGTGGTCAGGACAGGGAAAGAAGAGGAAAAAACTTTAAATCATGGACCTTTATTCTTAGACAGCTTTATCCTACATACACAAGGGACATGCATGGTTGAAATAACGGAAACAAGTGGATAAAAGTGAAAGTAACTTAAACTGCTTTACCCAGGAATGCCCAATTCAGGTGCTGCAGAGAAGAGCATGAGAACCGGGTGTCTTCAGGACAGGTGTGCATCTGGGAGCAGAGTGGGCGTTCATCAGCAGGGAGGAGCAAGGCCTGGGTCGGGGGACACTGGGGCTGCTGTCCCAGAGGCTGGCAGTGTAGCTCTGAACCCCCAAGACTTCACTGAGTCTCCCCTCAACCACCTAAACCAGAATAAACTGATGTAGCAGGACTCCTCAAACACTGTGCAGGGTCTCCATGTCCTCGATGGCCCCTGATGAGCCACAGTACCCTCAGGTCCTGGTGAAGGAGCTGGTGCTGCCTCCTGCCTTTCCCCACATGGGGTCCTGCAGCTCATCCCACACAGCCTCAGATTCCCTCTACAGAACCTGCCCACAGATGTCTTCCGAGACCGGCAATACTGGGAGGCCTGTGGCCCAGACCCAGGAGGAACCAGCTGAGAGGCTCCGTGGAGGTATCGCTGATGGTGTAACCAGAATGAAAATGCCCACTTCTGTTCTGCTCCCTGAGAACAATTGTCAAGCCAGCATGAGTTTCCAGTTGGAACTTTTCCTTTTCTCCCCATGTTTGTCGCTGTTTTAATGGACATTGCCTGGCTATTAAATCCCCCGATGAACTCACTTTGAAAATTATCTTTTGCACTGGGCACCCTTTCAGGAATCACTGAGTGTTAATTTTCTCAGTCTGAGTGATAATTTATGAGTCAAACAAGGACAGATCTGAAGCCAGAGGCTGCTCCTGTTGGGAAATCCCTGAGGATGATGTTCCAGGGAAGCCTCCAGCCTTGGGAGTCCCGTGGAACTGAGCCAGCCCAGGTCATGAAGGGAGCTGGTGCCAGACACTGACTGGGGACCTGCTGGCCTCTGGGCAGACCGCTCTGTCCCTGCACTTGGCCTGCCAGGTATCCCTGTGCAGTCATACCAAGTCCTGTGCTCAGAAGGGCCCCAGAGTAGTTTAAAGCTCTGCTGCCGCCCCTGGAAGCTCATGATTTTGAACAACAACAGCAAAAAAAAACCCACGTTTTCCACTCGGCCCCACACATTATGTGGCCTGCGCAGCTGTCAGGCTGTGGCCACAGTGCTGGCATCTCTCACACAATGAAGGCTGCTGGAGTCCTGGCTGACTTGTTTTGACTCTTTTGTGAGGCCCACACCTAAGCTAAACACTCACGTGCCCCCACACTGACTCCCCACACTCTAAAGCATGAATCTGCCCCTTCAGCTGGGAGAGGGTCCTCGTGTCATCTGGGTTTTTGGAGAGAAGGTCAAGGGAGCCTGGGTTCTAGTTCTTCAGTAATCAAGAGTAAGGGTCTTACCTGTTCACAGTTCCCTGTGGCTGCTTTACAGAAAGCAGGAAGTGGCCACTTCAGCCACACGGCTGCATTTCCAGCTCAGTCCAGGCAGAGCTGCACCCTGCCTTGCACCTCTGCAGATCCTGAGGGGAGTCCTTAACTGAGCCAGGGCGAGTCCTGGGGGCACTCTGCCCCTGTGGACACTGCCCCTGGGCAGGCCATGAATCTCCTCTGCTCCCACACTCTAGAGTTCAACGGGTCTCAGGGGCTCTGCCTGAGGACTGCCCTTCAACCAGGTATTCGTAATTTCCCCAAGACCCAGGCTTGCTGAGTCACTCAGTTACCTGAATGCTTTTTTCACAAAGGGATGACTGTGCTGCTCCGTCTTCCTTCTTTTTTGTTTGCAAGGCCACAGGGAAATCTGGATCCTCTGGTGAAAAAGCAAATCCAGTTGCTGCTGCTGCTGCTGCTGCTGCTGCTGCTGCCGCCGCCGCCGCCGGTTCTTGTAAATGTCCTCACTTGGTTTCTGGGCAGCAACTTCCTTGACTTGCCTGGGGAGCGGATCTGAGCTGCATTTACCAGGCCATGCCCAGGGGAAGTGATCAGTGTGGGACCGTGAAGCTGGATTTCCCCAGGAGCTGCCTCCAACCTTCTGGGATGATGATAAGACTTGGGATGAACCAAGGATCTTGAACCATGGGACAATGTGAAGTCTAGACCTAGTGGAGGAAGAGAAAGGCTACGGGAAGGGCAGGCTTCACGTTACTGAGCATCCGCTACCTGCCACACACTTTCACGTGGCCTTATTCTGTGTGTTTCTCACAGCACCCTTGAGAAATAGAGACTACGATCACATCTTTTACATAAAAGAAAACCACCATCCAGGGAGGCGAAGTCCCTTGCTCACAGACTGTCATGTGGGAAGCTCTCTGGATGCAATGATGTCCTCCAGTTGCAGTACCAGGCAAGCTGTCCCAGAGTTCATGGAGCGGAAAGGCTCGAGAAGCAACTGAGGATGCTCGAATCACAGGTTTATAAAATCCATTCATAAAACACAGCAAGAAGCTGAGGGAAGGAGATGGGAGGGCCGTATGACCTGATTCCTGTGCTGTCAACATTCATCAGTTCTCTTCTTTCTCTGCTAGTCAACCTCACCCACTCAGGTGTGACCACGAGGACCAGAGCCGAGGTCTGGGCAAGAGTGCTCACAGCTGAAGGGCTTATGACACACACCGGCTCAACGGGACAGACATGGGACAAGTGTGCCTGATCATGGTGGAGTTGCCAAGAAGCAGCTGTCGCACTGCCATGGGTTCTACGTGTTTCTTGGGCAGAGGACGCATGGGACCAGAATGGGCACCAGGAATGGTGGTGAACAAAGGCCCCATGGTTCTGCATGTTTAGGTGTCTCTTGTATAAAGGCACATTGTGAATTGAACATTTAGTGCCCAGGAGCCTCATGCATATTAAGTATCTCTTGGCCCTTGTGTCTCTTCCTTCCCACATGTAACATACCTGTTCTCTGTAACTATCTATTCTGAACGTATCTAAAAACCATGTCTTGCCTGTGTTATACAAACCACATGCATACTCACGTTCTCTGATGTAGCTGAATGTTTCCTAAGGCCAGGGCACATTTCAGGGTCACATAGAGTGGAGAGAGGGACCAAAATAGCCTTGCTCTGTTTGACTCCCAGCCGAGATGTCTGCTGGGCAGCACTGCCTCTGTAGGCTCTAATGGGGGAAGGGAGCTCAGGGGAGCCTCTGGGGCTGGGCAGGCTACCAGAGGGTGTGGACATTTGGGTGGACCCTGACGGAGGACTTGGGTTTCCTTGGGAGGAAGTGTCAGGAAGGGCATCTGGGGCTGAGAGCACTGTGTGGGCAACAGAAGGAAGGAAACTGTGGCTGGCTGGGAAGGGATGGTACGGGGGACAGGGTGAGACTTCTGGCCCTGGGTGCTCAGATGAAGACCTGGGGTTGCCTAGTGGCTGGAAACACACACCAGCTGTGGCAACTTGACCTCTGGGATGTGAGTGTGCAGGCAGCTGCTGAGAACGGCTGTGGATTTGGAGATGTGGCTACAGGGAATGGGCAGTGGATTCATCTGGGAATTCTGCAGTCAGTGGCCCATAGAGGAAACAGCCTGGAAATGAGACTGCAGATACGTGCTAAAGAGGCTGGAGGAACAGTGACCCCAGTACAAGTTTATGGATCTTATCCACAATCTAAAGAAATGGAGGCCAAATGGCTTTTGAAATTCTAAAATACATGCAGAGGAAGAGTAATGCTTCATGGGAGAGCCAGACTCTTACTGGCAGTGACGCTACACGGTAGAGCTCTGTTCCTCCTGCCCATGTCTGTGGTTGGGGCTGGGGTAGTGCATAAACATGACGCTGATGAGGCCCAAGCATTGTTGGAAAAGAATTCAGCAGCTGCCACAAGAATCTTGAATCCGTGGGTGAAGACCTTGACTTTTTCTGGGACCAATGTGGTCAAGAACAAAGTAAAATAATGACAACAAACACTGTTCAGTTTTCCAAATATAAGCTATTTTAAATACTCTACATTTACCCTCAAAGACTGACATAACTTAGAATAACTTTTATAACAGCAAGGATGAGAACTAAAACTTAAATTGTAAATACAATTTTATTTATAAAAACAAAGTTAGCTTCAAATATTTTATGAACTAGTAGAATTTTAACCTTTTGTCACATTTCCCAGCAAAGTAAATAATTCTTTTTTTCACTTCTAGTCTGTCAGAAGAAAAGTCTTAGCTGAAATGGCCAGAAACTCTGAGGCACACTCCGGAGGCTGCTTCCGGGGCACCTCGGCACGGCCGCTTTTCCATCCCGGCCCTCACTTGATGCGGTCCAGCAGGGTTGAAATTGTTTGAAATGCTTGTTCCCAGTGCGGTAAAGAAATAGCACTTGAATGTAAATTTAATTTCCTCAGCAAGGCCATTTTTTTTTTTTTAATTTCTGCAGAAAGTGTACACTCGCCAGCAGTTTTGCCACAACAGTATACTGAGCAAAGGAGACAGGGTCATTTATAACCTGACGCATCCACCCTACTGCTGTGTCCAGTTTCCAGTGGCTGGAACGGGACCTCACATTCTGTATTTGTCCCGATTGGCTAGCAACTTAGAACTTTTTTAAAGAGGAAAAGGCAGAGGAGAACAAAGGAAGGAGGAAGTAACTTGTGGAATGCTGAAAAAAGTAAAAACACCTTCGAATAAAGAAGAGGAACAGGCAATGACCTAAAGCTTGCTTGGACTAGTATAAGCATGCCAGGGCAAATATTTAGGCTAAATTGTGGGAGCTAAGAACATAAAGTACATTGATTTCTTTATTAGGGCTAGCAGATGTTTAAGAATGTTAGCACGGGTCTTTGAATAAATTTTGCTTCTAAGAGAAGTTACTATTTATTTCTAGTGAGATGGGAAGGAAAGTCTTTGAAGAGGAAACTCTACTTTTTACAGAAGTAGGAACTTAGACTTACAGTTTGCACATTGACAAACTTGTTTTCCTTCCATACACGAGGGGTTTATGATCCTCTGTTGCAACTGATTTGTCTTATGTAACTTCAAGAGTTACTCGTCAACCTACTTACTATTCTGGACTTTTCGGGAAATGGCAATTTGCCTTCCTATTTAGTGGGAGGGATACTGAGACTGCACTTTTTCTTACCCCAAGAAGTGCACAGTGTCATTGCAATGTCAACATCAGGGAGATCTCAGCCAGTGTGAAATAATTAGATCGTCCACTCAAAATTCTTAGTTACATCTTTTTAATATTTTCTTCACACTTCTTAAAAGCAGCTTAACAAGAATTGCATTAGTCAGGGTTTTCCAGAGAAACAGAAAAGAGAGGAGGAGATGTCCAGAATTGTCTCGTGTGATTACAGAGGCTAGAATCCAAGGAAGAGTGGCTTGAGTCCAGGGGCAGAATTCCCTCTTCCCCTGGGAGGTCAGTATTTCTTCCTTTAAGGCCTTCAACTGATTGGATGAGACCCACCCACATTATGGAGCATAATCTGCTTTACTAAAAGTATACTGGCTTAAATGCTAATTTCATCTGAAAAATACCACAGAATAATGTTGACCAAGTACTGGGAGAGGCCTTTTCCTTCGTCTTTTGGTAAATTGCAATCCCTGGGTATATTCACATTTGAAACTCAAATGTGGGCATTGGCTACTGCAGGCCTTTCCCGGCTCAATGGAGTGCAGACAGGGGAGGCACAGGAGTGACTCCACTGTGTGAAGAGAAGACTGATGAGGGCCCATGTGGCACCTCAGGTAGGGTCTGCACTGTCTGGACTATGGTCAGGCCCCTGCCTGAGCCAGCCCTGCTCTCCAGTGTCCCCAAGGAATCCCTGAAACTAGCATCTCATGGAGGAGATAGACGATGCAGGAGGTCCCCTGTGCCCAGAACAAATGGTACAACAAGGCCCCTCTGTTCCCCAAACTGGTCTCAGCAAACTTTCCCCACAGCTTGGATCTGGGCAGGTCACAGGGCCCAAACCTCATGACCAGCAGTGCTGGACCAGGGGGCTAGAAGGGCAGGTGGAGCTCTCTGATGACATTGTGGAGAGGAGGGGTGCCAGGCAAGGGGTGTCCAGGCAGGGGGTGTCCAGGATACTGTCCTGAGAGCCTCTCCAGGAACAGGTGCCCTTAGGGGCAGAGAAAAAGGCAACCGGGGAGACCAGAGGAGTCTGATGCAGATAAGGAGGGGCTCTGTCCAGTGATGTTTCTCCACAATGAGCTCTCCCGAGGACAAGCAGCCTGCTTTATAGGCGAACCCCATTGCACAGTGAGAAGACGAAGACTTCGGAACTCAGTTCCCTAGAACCTCTTCTCTCCCTGCATAGTCCAGCCCTATTGGTCCTTTCTGGTCTTGAAGGTCTTTAATGGAAACAAACCGCAAGGCCAAGGCCAGACCTGCCTGCCCTTCATGCCCATCTCCACGCAGCAGTTGAGTGTGGACTCTGCCTCCCCTGTCCCCCGAACAGTGAGTCCCCACCAGCCCCTCCAGGGACACAGTGCCAGCTCTGCAGCCCTCCCATCCCTCTGTCCATTCTTCTGCAGGCAGGATGGGCACTGTGGCTGGAGGAAGGCTCCTGATCCACTGCTTTGGGGGAATCTGATTTAGCACTCTACAGGGAACCCAACAGAGATCCAAAGCTGAGTACTGATTCAGAGAAAGAACATTTCTGCTAAGCTTAGGGCCTCAGGGAGGACAGATAATTATCTAAAGTTGACAGAACAATCAATTTTCTGGGTCTGAAGTTTACAAACAAAATCCCTCTCCTTTGAAGGCAGATTAGCCATGGAAACACCTTCTACATTGCCTGCCTAAATGGTTTGTCTCTGCAATCAATCTCTCTATTCTTTAAAACAGAATTAGGATAATTTGCATAATTGTTTCTTGTCTCAGAGAAATCTTACAGGGAGGCTGTCTCCAGATAACCAGCAGCCTGGGCTCCAGGCCGACGCCAAACCCACAGGCAGCCTTGTGGTAAGGCTCCAGGCTCTAGAGCCAAAGGATCTAGGTCAGAGGCTCCACCTGGGGCTCCTGCGCCCTCCCTGCCAGGGCGGCAGAGGGAGCCACATCCCTGAAAGCCTCTGGCTTAGGGACCTCAGAATTCCCACCTCTGATAAGGTAATGAAATGAGCCAAAGTTGGTAAAAATCTGTGAACAAACTGGCCTACAGTGGCTAAAACCAGAGGGAGAAAAATAATGTGATAAACCCCCAAACCAGCCATCCTGGGAAGTTTCAAGGGGCTGCTGTGCTCCTGACTCCTCCCCCGCCTCCTGGAGCTGCCCAGGTGAGCAGACAGAGTTTTGAGAGCTGGCGCTGAGACTCTGTGCCTGGAGACAGACACTGGGCAGGGACCCTCAACTTTCCTGTCCGTTTTGCGCAGTGAGTCAGAAACAGATGCTGGGGAGCAGCCAGCAAGCAGAGGGCTGCCTGTCTCAGAGGCAGGAGCATCCACCTCAGAGGATGCCAGGTGGGGAGATCCTGGACTGTGCCACCCCCAGGGAGGGCACAGGCACAGCAGGCCTCTCAGCAGGAGCTCGGGGGTGGAGTAGAGACCAGGGATTCCATAAGACTCCCCACTGCTCCCCATTCCCTAAGGTGCAGCAAAACGTCTCCGCTTCTATGAGGACAGTCCAGACGTCCCCAGCTTCCCCTAGAGCAGACAGAAGGCCTGAGGCCCTGGGAAACCCACGTGCCCACTGGAAGTGGGGAGTAAAAAGACAGAAGGGACCCGTCTGGAAACAAAACCAGTCAAGAACCAGACTCACCACTGCTTCAGAAAATATGGGGAAATGTGAGCATGAATTTCATAAAGCACAGTCAGCAAGCCACGAGGAGGGCCAGCGTCTGATGGACAGGGAGACTGCAGACCCCAGGAAGCAGCAGGAGAACAAGGATTCCCTCTATGATTTCCCACGGCTGATGCTCCCGACCTGGTTTCCCTTCACTGGTGCTCCTCCTGTGTTCCACACTGGATACTATCCTGCCAATCCACGCCCCTTGCTGGCCTTCAGTGAGGTGGAACTCACCACACTCTGGCCTCTTTCTCCACTTCTCTTGCTACTGTCCATTTGCAAAGATCTCAGATGGCTGCACCATGTGTTCTGACCAGAGAAAGACTGCAACCACCTTTGCAAAGCTTATGACAGCGAGGGAGGTCACGCATGACTGACTCCACCTTACCTCTAGCCTCACAGGCAGGCTGTCCTGCTCATGCTTGGGCACAGGCTAAACTAATCCGGGGAGAAATTTAGTTATAAAACAATACTAGTCCCTCTCTAAAACTAAAGCCCTCCTTCCTTGAGGACCAAAAACGAATGAAAGGCCACGTGATTAGGATTTCGGGAGGAGCCCGAACTCTGCTAAAATGTAGACATAGTTTCCGTAATTCCTTATTGTTCAGAAGTCATATGGCTAGAAGTCACACAATTTGTGACTTCTCCAATTGCTTCTGTAGATAACAACACTATTGTAGAGCCTGAGTTTGGTTTTTTCAGCTGTTTTCCAGATTTTTGCATTCTGCCAACCGACTGACCCTACCCAGACCCATGGCTCATGACTCAACTGGTCCTATGCACTCCCACCTCCCCACCCAGAGGCAGACTCCGTGACAGGATCGTTTTCTACACCCTATGACTGCATCCCTAAACAATCAACCGCACCCACTCCCTGGTCCTCTGCCCACCAAACAATCCTTGAAAAACCCAAACCTCCCGTTCTTCTGGGAGACTGATTTGAGTAGCAGCTCCTTCTCCCACGTGGCTAGCTGCATCAATTAAACTGTTTCTTTAGTGCAGTACCACAGTCTCGGTGAATTGGTTTTGTCTGTACAGTGGGTGGGAAGAACCCATTGGGCAACTGCAAGACAGTTCAGCGTGCTTGCTCATCGTACTGGAAATAAAACCTATTTGTAGGGTCAAAGGGGCAAAGTTGTCCCATGTTATTCCCTTTTGGGGAGTTATCTGTTGGGTGTTTCTAGCCTGCTGCAAGCTAGGATAAAGCAGAGGTCCTCGTGCCTCTCCTCCAGGACCCCATACAAACACCTTGTCCTCCATGAAGAACCCGGGACCTGCAGCCCTCCTCTCCTGTGACCTTCCCAGTCACTTCATCCTCATCTCGGGGTGCTGCCAGCTGAATGTGCTGTGCTCACTGGCTGCACCACTACCCCCGTGCACACACACTCCTGCAGATGAGAGCTGCCAAGGCAGAGAGTGAACTTTTCTGATTTGACATTCCCTGTACATTTGTGCCTTGACACGCCACACAAATACAGTGTGCAGACACCAGTAAAAACAGAGAAAAGGTGGGGACATAAAGGCCCAGACGTAAGAGTGGGCAAGGGTGCCCTCTGGTTCATTTCACTCTGCAGTCGACTCCCAAGGTGAACCTAGTGAATTCTGCCTCAGAAGCCCTGGTTTCCTTGTCTCTGACACTGAATCCACAGTAGCCATGATCCACGTTTATTGGATCACCAGTATTTTGAGGAATGTTAGTATCATTCTACAAAAAATATTTTAAAAATTGATTTCTATAATCAGGAAATTTCAGGAAACCCTGAGTAAAAATGATTGATTATTGCAAAACTTCTCTGAAGCTTTCACAAACAAATGTGTGCTCATCTCCAAGGCGAAAGTAAAGTAGGGAACCTGCCCCAAATTTATGAGTCAGTTCAGTGCTTTTCTGTGATCAAATCGGTGTTCTGTCAAGTGCAATGTGGAAAAGGTAATACTGAGGGTCATTTAACTGGCATGTCCAGCGCAGTGCGGAAAAGGGAACATTCCAGGGTCATCTACTCGGCAGCCTCCAAAGGCTGGCACAGTGTATCTTACTTCTCTTCTGCGTTTCTAGCGCCTTCATTAGACCTGAGACGTGGAAATGGCCTAGGAGATCTTATTAACAGTGACGTAGGAATAGGAGTAATTAATTATGTTACAGTAATAGTTGGGTTTTGCATGTTCTAAGCTGGGCTCAGGAAAAGGCCAATAGAAAGGGGCAAATATGGAGTATTTCCTGGTCTTAAGACGCGGGCAGCATGGAGCAGCCAGCTGAGAGTCAAAGGTGGCCAGGGAGTATTTGCCCCCGGATGCCTGCACTGGGAATGGAGAGGTCAGTGTCCTGTCCATCGCATGCCCAGGCATAAGGAAATGGGGCATAAAGCTGGTCATCCCCACCAAAACCAGGGGAGACTTAATGGTCCTGAGGCTAAGTTTTGAGAAGTTCAGCAAATGGCAGACGTGGTAGGATTTCCCCCACAGGCTTCACCTGGATGCACTCCTGTATCCCTGAGGGCATTCCATAGTAAACTGTTGTAAAGGAGCAGACAGGGAGATGCAGAGCCTAGTGTGGTGGGATGGGTGATGGGGCGAGGTGTCCCCAACCTGAACAAGGAAGGCCAAACTGATTCCCCAGGTCTGCCGTGCTCGGGAGATGCGGCCCCTCAGCCCCTTGCTTGAACTCCTTTTGATGAGGTCAGCTGCCTCCCAAGAACAGGCTTTGGCAGCCTGAAAAAGTGCCCAGCACAGCCCTCAGACCACCCTCAGCCTTTCCCCAGACACTGGGCTGCAGTAGCTGAGATAAATGCAGGAGACCGTTCATTAAACCTACAAGGCGAACTGTCTGACCCGGCTGCAAGAAGGTGATTTCACAGGGTGCTGTTTTGGGGAGGTAAGGGACTTACCTGAGCTGCCAGTGGGAAAAAAATGCGTCTCACTGAAGTTGAAATGGCACAATCAGAAGCACTGAGGCCCAGTGCTGGCCCGCCCATGCCATGGACGACATAAGGACTGTTGGAGAAGAGGAGACGTGAACAGTGTGCAGCTTCCCGCCCATGCCATGGACAACACAAGGACTGTTGGAGAAGAGGAGGAAATGTGAATAGTATGCAGCTTCCCGCACACACTGCACCCAGGACTGTTGGAGAAGAGGAGGAGATGTGAACAGTATGCAGCTTCCCGCACACACTGCACCCAGGACTGTTGGAGAAGAGGAGGAAATGTGAACAGTATGCAGCTTCCCGCCCATGCCATGGACGACATAAGGACTTTTGGAGAAGAGGAGGAAACGTGAATAGTATGCAGCTTCCCGCACACACTGCACCCAGGACTGTTGGAGAAGAGGAGGAGATGTGAACAGTATGCAGCTTCCCGCGCTGCCACGCACACTGCACGCGTTGATTGGGTCCCTCGGTACTCAGGCAGCCTCCAAGGCAGGCTTTGCCATTCCTGTTCCCATTTCACAGTTGAAGAAGTGAGGTTCAGAGCTGTGAAGTAAAGGGGCTCGGGTTCAAGCTGGGCTGCCAAATGCTGAGGTGCAGCCCCTGAGGACTTCATAAAAGTCACCCTCTGTGGGAAGAGCTGCCACGGGGCATCATCTGTAGCATCTGGAAGGAACGCCAGTAATCCCACCGTCCCACAGTCATTTCCCCGAGATCTTAGGTCTCAAATGCCTTTGAAAATTCATTTTACATGGCTTTCTCCTCTGTTATATTTCGATCCCCAGGGCATGGTGTATGTGCTAGTTGCCATTTCTAGCCTCAGCCTACTTTATGTAGGCACTGAGCAAATGCTGAATGAATCATTACACATGTTCACTGAGCTTTTTTTGAGAACTCTGACTGGTTGAAGTATTTACTACTCACTCTGGGAACTTGAAACAAAAAGCGACTAAATGACAGAGGCTGGGCCTGAGAGCACAGGTTGCATCGTGCTGGGGGAGGTCCCCTGTGCAGGGCACCATCCCTCACCCACTCACCCGCTCACTCACTCATTCTTCCTTTCACTGGACTCTGTCAACTGGGGGTTCCCACGTGCCACGCCCCGTGCAAGGTGCTGGGTACACAGCAGTGAATGCTGACAATGGTCATGATAATAGGGCTTACCATGTGCGATGCTCTAAGACTAACACACTTCACATCTAGGCACTCACAATAGTGCTTACCACGTGCAATGCTCTAAGGCTAACACACTTCACATCTAGGCACTCTCAAACACACAGCTGTGCTCATTCAATCCCCTTCACAGCCCCAAAGGCAGGCACCACGTTACCCATCTGACTGATGGCAGCAACTTGCTCACACTAACGAATGCCTAACGAGCTGGGGTTTCCTTCCTCGCAGGGCTCACACTCCTACAGGGAAAAGAAACAAAAAGCATGAGAAATAAAAACTGGAAATGAAGAAAATAAAACCAGGTGGGAGGACAGGCAATTGCAGAAGGGGAGGTGGGGGGTGACAGGCAAACCAGGAACTGAGTCATGGAAATGACCCTGTAGTCCTGCGGGGCAGTGCACCTGAGCCCAGGCTGGAGGGCAAGGAGCTGGGTGTATCAAGGCAGTGAGTGGTCAGGCCCACAGACGTGAGAAGCAGGGATGGGAGAACTTGAGACAGGAGACCAGCAAGGGAAAGACAGGCCCACACAGGCAAGGCCCACACAGGAAGGCCCACATGTGGCTGGTGTCTCTGCCATGAACTACCTTCTGCCAGGCTTCCTTGACCACCCCACAAGCCTCCCTGAGGCCAGGGCCACATCCAGAAACTTCACAGAGAGCTACACCCTTCACACTGCTGTTTTAACTTAACAAGCTGTAGTTTGAAAGAGAACTCAGCAAAGCACTCGTGTAATTTCATTAACTTTCTCTCATCTTCTCAGCTGGGCATCTGCAGTTAATAATGTGCATTTGAGGAAAGAAAAATAAAAGGCATCAAAGGCCAGGTTAGAGACAGGGCAGGGACGGGAGCTCTAGGCCAGTGGGTTGTGTTTTTCTGACGTGTGCTCCAGCTGCTGTCAGCTGACTCTAGCCAGTCCCCAGGCCCCGACTCAGGTGCCACCTGGTTGAGGACCTCCAGGGAGTCCTGCTGTGAACGAAAACCCATTGTGATAGGGGCATGCATCCCCTTTGCCACCCCCTCCTCACACACCTGCTTTGGGTTGGGGGTGTGTCTCCTGCTGAACCACAGCACTGCCCCATTTTGGGTAGGACAAGTTCATTTCCATCTTGGAAGAATAGTCCACTCACCAAGGTGTTTGGCAGCTACATATAAACAGAACTTTCAATGAAAGGTTGGAATGCTCATCCTGTCCCACTCCATGTGTGATAGCGTCTGGAACCCTTTCCAGCAGGTCTATTCAACATCAATACAGCAATCTGGGCACACGTCTCGGCCCTGCCCTCACCCGGGGCTGTGGGCACAACTGGGATGCTCAGAGGTGGGCAGGCAAGTGTCATCTCACAGGTGCAGATGTCAAGGCTCTGAGGACACTGTGACCACCCAGCCCACACACGATGGCGGAGGGAAGATCCTGGCCATTTGTGGCCCACCCAGTTTTCCACCGCTCTCTATTTTCCCTACATCCCCACTTCCTCTGCTCCTCTGCAGAGCATGGAGCCCCTTCCACATGTACAAGAGGTGCTGAGTGGGACCGTGGCTGAGAGAAGGCTGCCAGGCTGTGCCCTGTGGTGCGGTGGGCCTGGAGTGTGGGGAGGACTGCAGCGTCTGCAGGTAGGGCACCTGCCATGAGCGGGTCCTCTCCCATCTGACCCTCCTGCCCCCACATCTAGTTCTTCTCTTGCTGCCAGGTTCTACTCATTGGTAAGGTCTGCCTCTTGCTGGAAGCCCTTCCTCCACTCCTGTCGTCCTCAGAAGGGTGACCCTAGAACTCCTGAGGGTGGCATTCAAGAACTTCCCAGCACCACAGATGCTCAAACTGTTTCTTCTCAGGGTCAAAACCACAATGCTGAAATATCATCTCTTCTGAAACTATTCCAATCAATAGAAAAAGAGGGAATCCTCCCTAACTCATTATATGAGGCCAGCATCATTCTGATACCAAAGCCGGGCAGAGACACAACCAAAAAAGAGAATTTTAGACCAATATCCTTGATGAACATTGATGCAAAAATCCTCAATAAAATACTGGCAAAACGAATCCAGCAGCACATCAAAAAGCTTATCCACCATGATCAAGTGGGCTTCATCCCTGGGATGCAAGGCTGGTTCAATATACGCAAATCAATAAATGTAATCCAGCATATAAACAGAGCCAAAGACAAAAACCACATGATTATCTCAATAGATGCAGAAAAGGCCTTTGACAAAATTCAACAACCCTTCATGCTAAAAACTCTCAATAAATTAGGTATTGATGGGACGTATTTCAAAATAATAAGAGCTATCTATGACAAACCCACAGCCAATATCATACTGAATGGGCAAAAACTGGAAGCATTCCCTTTGAAAACTGGCACAAGACAGGGATGCCCTCTCTCACCACTCCTATTCAACATAGTGTTGGAAGTTCTGGCCAGGGCAATTAGGCAGGAGAAGGAAATAAAGGGTATTCAATTAGGAAAAGAGGAAGTCAAATTGTCCCTGTTTGCAGATGACATGATTGTATATCTAGAAAACCCCATTGTCTCAGCTCAAAATCTCCTTAAGCTGATAAGCAACTTCAGCAAAGTCTCAGGATACAAAATCAATGTGCAAAAATCACAAGCATTCCTATACACCAACAACAGACAAACAGAGAGCCAAATCATGAGTGAACTCCCATTCACAATTGCTTCAAAGAGAATAAAATACCTAGGAATCCAACTTACAAGGGATGTGAAGGACCTCTTCAAGGAGAACTACAAACCACTGCTCAAGGAAATAAAAGAGGATACAAACAAATGGAAGAACATTCCATGCTCATGGGTAGGAAGAATCAATATCATGAAAATGGCCATACTGCCCAAGGTAATTTATAGATTCAATGCCATCCCCATCAAGCTACCAATGACTTTCTTCACACAATTGGAAAAAACTACTTTAAAGTTCATATGGAACCAAAAAAGAGCCTGCATCGCCACGTCAATCCTAAGCCAAAAGAACAAAGCTGGAGGCATCACACTACCTGACTTCAAACTATACTACAAGGCTACAGTAACCAAAACAGCATGGTACTGGTACCAAAACAGAGATATAGATCAATGGAACAGAACAGAGCCCTCAGAAATAACGCTGCATATCTACAACTATCTGATCTTTGACAAACCTGAGAAAAACAAGCAATGGGGAAAGGATTCCCTGTTTAACAAATGGTGCTGGGAAAACTGGCTAGCCATATGTAGAAAGCTGAAACTGGATCCCTTCCTTACACCTTATACAAAAATCAATTCAAGATGGATTAAAGACTTAAACGTTAGACCTAAAACCATAAAAACCCTAGAAGAAAACCTAGGCATTACCGTTCAGGACATAGGCATGGGCAAGGACTTCATGTCTAAAACCCCAAAAGCAATGGCAACAAAAGCCAAAATTGACCAATGGGATCTAATTAAACTAAAGAGCTTCTGCACAGCAAAAGAAACTACCATCAGAGTGAACAGGCAACCTACAACATGGGAGAAAATTTTTGCAACCTACTCATCTGTCAAAGGGCTAATATCCAGAATCTACAATGAACTCAAACAAATTTACAAGAAAAAAACAAACAACCGCATCAAAAAGTGGGCAAAGGATATGAACAGACACTTCTCAAAAGAAGACATTTATGCAGCCAAAAAACACATGAAAAAATGCTCACCATCACTGGCCATCAGAGAAATGCAAATCAAAACCACAATGAGATACCATCTCACACCAGTTAGAATGGCGATCATTAAAAAGTCAGGAAACAACAGGTGCTGGAGAGGATGTGGAGAAATAGGAACACTTTTACACTGTTGGTGGGACTGTAAACTAGTTCAACCATTGTGGAAGTCAGTGTGGCGATTCCTCAGGGATCTAGAACTAGAAATACCATTTGACCCAGCCATCCCATTACTGGGTATATACCCAAAGGACTATAAATCATGCTGCTATAAAGACACATGCACACGTATGTTTACTGCAGCACTATTCACAATAGCAAAGACTTGGAACCAACCCAAATGTCCAACAATGATAGACTGGATTAAGAAAATGTGGCACATATACACCATGGAATACTATGCAGCCATAAAAAATGATGAGTTCATGTCCTTTGTAGGGACATGGATGAAATTGGAAATCATCATTCTCAGTAAACTATCGCAAGAACAAAAAACCAAACACCTCATGTTCTCACTCATAGGTGGGAATTGAACAATGAAAACACATAGAAACAGGAAGGGGAACATCACACCCTGGGGACTGTTGTGGGGTGGGGGGAGGGGGGAAGGATAGCACTGGGAGACATACCTAATGCTAAATGACGAGTTAATGGGTGCAGCACACCAGCATGGCACATGTATACGTATGTAACAAACCTGCACAATGTGCACATGTACCCTAAAACTTAAAGTATAATAATTAAAAAAAAAATTAAAAAAAAAAAAAGAAATATCATCTCACCCCAGTTGTGATGGCGTTCATCAAAAAGACAAAAAATAACCAAGGGAACTCTTGACACTGTTGGTGGGAATGTAAACCAGTACAGCTACTGTGGAAAGCAGTGTGGAGGTTCCTCACAGAACTACAAACAGAACTGAGGTAGGAGGTGGGACTCAACTCCAGAGGTGGGGCTCGAACACCGGACCAGATTGAGGACTAGCTAAAACAGGGCTGGGGCGGAAGCAGCTTTCAATCAGACACACCCACCAGTGCCATGGAAGTTTATCGTTGCCATGACGACACCGGGAGTTACCGCTCCTTTCCATGGCAATGACTCAATGACCCAAAAGTTACTATGCCTTCCTTAGAAATTTCTGCATAAACCGTCTTTAATCCGCGTGAAATTAAAAGTGGATTAAACATGACTGCAAAACTGCCCCGAGCTGCTCTTCTCTTCTTACAGGGCAGAGAGGGTAGCCCTGCTCTGCAGGAACCGTCTCAGAGCTGTAACATTTCTTCTTTATTAATAAAGCTGTTTTTGGCCGGGCACAGTGGCTCACGCCTGTCATCCCAGCACTTTGGGAGGCTGAGGTGGGCGGATCACGAGGTGGGAAATTCAAAACCAGCCTGGCCAAAATGTTGAAACCCCGTCTCTACTAAAAATACAAAAATTAGGTGGGCGTCGTGGTGCGTGCCTGTAATCCCAGCTACTTGGGAGGCTGAGGCAGGAGAATCTCTTCAACCCAGGAGGCGGAGGTTATAATGAGCCGAGATCGCTCCACTGCACTCCAGCCTGGGTGACAGAGCAAGATTCCGTCTCTAAATAAATAAAGCTGTTTTCTTCTTCCTTTGGCTTGCCCTTGAATTCTTTCCTGGGCAAAGGCAAGAACCCTTGCAGACTAAACTCCACCTTGGGGCTCACCTGCCCCACATCAGAACTACCATAAGATCCAGCAATCCCACTCCTGGACATTTATCCAAAGGAAAGGAATCGGTATATCAAACCAATATCTGCAACCCCATGTTTATTGACAATAGTCAAGACGTGGAATCAACCTAGGTGTCCAACAGCAGATGACTGGATAAAAAACGTGGTATATACACACAGTGGAATACTAGTCATCTGTAAAAAAAAATGAAGTCCTGTCATTCATGGCAAAACGGATGGAACTGGAGGACATTATGGTAAGTGAAATAAGCCAGGAACAGAAAGTTAAATACTGAATGTTCTCACTGACATGTGGAAACTTTAAAAAATGTTGCTCTCATAGAAGTAAAAAGTAGAACAGAGGATATTAGAGGCTGGGAAGGGGAGGGAGAGGGGACGGATAGGGAGAGATTTTTTAAAGGATATGGAATTACAGCTGGATGGGAAAAATAAGTCCTATGGTTCTTTGGCACTGTAGGGTGACTATAGTTAACTATAATTCATAGTTTCAGATAGCTAGGAGGAGAAATTATCGTGTTTGAGACGATGGATGTGTTCGCCACCCTGATCTAATCCTTGATTCATTCTATGTACTGCAGCATCCCTGTGAACCCCACGAATATGTGCCATATTGTGTCAATTAAAAAAATAATAAGAAGTAATTGAGAACCCTAATAAGTATGGTTTATCTATTAACATTTACCATGTTAAAGATGAAAATGGAGAACAATTTAAAATCTTAAGAGTATTAGTCTCTAGAGGGACAGGACTAATAGGATAGAAGTGTATATGAAAGGGAGTTTATTAAGTAGTATTGACTCACACGATCACAGGGTGAAGTCCCACAGTAGGCTGCAAGCCGAGGAACAAGGAAGCCAGTCTGAGTCCCAAAACCTCAAAAGTAGGGAAGCCGACAGTGCAGCCTTCAGTCTGGGGCCAAAGGCCCGAGAGCCCCTGGCAAACCACTGGTGTAAATCCAAGAGTCCAAAACTGAAGAACTTGGAGTCCGGTATTCAAGGGCAGGAGGCATCCAGCGTGGGAGAAAGATGAAGGCCGGAAGACTCAGCCAGTCTCGTCCTTCCGCATTTCTCTGCCTGCTTTTATCCCAGCCACACTGGCAACTGATGAGATGATGCCCACCCAGATTGAGGGTGGGTCTGCCTCTCCCAGGTCCACTGACTCAAATGTGAATCTCCCTTGGCAACACTCTCACGGACGCACCCAGGAACAATACTCTGCATCTTTCAATCCAATCAAGTTGACAATAGTAACCATCACATTAAGTAACCAATTAGTGAAAACTCATAATGAATCCATTATGCTAATGAACATCAAGGATTATGTTATGTTCATAACATAACATGTTACGAAAATAACTATATTTTCTTTAGAAACTGGTGACAGGAGTAGCATTGTTTAGATGTGTGAATGCTCCTGCTGCCTGGCTCCTGGGAAACAAGTTTCCCATGTGGAATTCTGTATTCAGTCTGCAGTGACATCACACGTCAGTTGCCTCTGCACACTTGTGAGAGAACGGGAGTGGAAAAGGCACTCAACACTTCAGCCATGAGAGGAAACCTGTTTGAACTAAGAGTCCCCTAAGAGGGGAGCCAGCACCACTTAAAAACCTTTAAGTACTCTCAATAGAAATCTTTAGTTCACAAGATGTTTTACAAATACCTTATCCTAGTCTCCATATCATTTGTGGAAGGGAAAGTTTAGATTTTATTATTATTTTTTAAAAAATTATTATAGATATATTTATTATTAAATTTTAGTCAATTTTATTAATCTTTTGATCATGTGATTTTTCTATGTATTTTGCGAAATCCACAAAATGTATTCAAAATATATTTTCTTATATTTTCATCTAAAGAGTCTTGCTATATTTATAAAGTTTCTCAGTCCACCTGAAAATAACCTTTGTGTATGTCTTGAGGTATAGATCTAAAGGTATCTTTTTTCAAAATGAAGAGCCAATTGCCCAAACGATTGGGCACTTTATTTGTTTTCTAATAGACTAAGTTTCAACACAGAAGAGGGTCTTCTTTGGTGCTCTGTACTCTTTTCCTTTGGTCTATTTTTCTCTTCTACCAAGATATCATGTGGCTGTAATTGCAATGGATTTATATGGTGTGCTTATATCTGGTGTAATGTATCCTCGACTTACTTTTTCTCCTTTAAAAGTATCTTGGTTATTATTGTCCTGTATTGTTTTTGGAGTCAGCCAGTCAAGTTTTAAAAAACACGTAAACAGATGCAGGTGAACGTGTCCCCATGGGTGTGTGCTTGGTGGGAACTGCATCAAATTCATCACCTCACTTGGGGAGACTTCATCGCTTTACCATGCAGGTCTCACCACACCTCCCCATTTATAGACATCTTTAAAAATATTCTTCACTGATATCTTTATTTTTTCATAAAGTTATTACCCTTGTCTTAGTTGATGTATTCCTAGGTAACTGATAACTTTTGTTGATGTCAAATGAAATTGCTTTTTATAATTATGAATTGGGTACTGCTGATAGTTTTGTTTACTAGTCTTGTGTCCAGTTGAACTCTCTTATTTGTTATGACCTTTTAAAATGTAGATTTTTATAGGGTCAATAAAGAATGATGGTTTCCTTTTATTCCTGACCCATTGTTCCACATTTAGTTCATTTTCTTGCATTATTGCACAAGCCGGTAACTCTACCCGAGGTTGCATAGAAAGGGTACATAGAAAGGGCATATCTTTGCCTTGCTCCTACCTCCCAAAGGCAGTTTCTGAAGCTTCACTGTCACATGTGGTGGCTGCTTTTTCTAGTCTATGATTTAGATGCTGCTTTTGCATCAACTTAGCTGTGGATTTTTTTTTTAATGAAGTTTCACTCTGTTCCCCAGCCTGGAGTGCAGTTGTGCAATCTTAGCTCCTGCAGGCCTAAGTGCTCTCTATAAACCCCAAGTGCAGCAGGCGGGAGGAGACTCTGGCTATGCACAAAGTTTGCTGGTGGGAGGACAGAGCCAGGAACTCTGTGTGTGTCAGTAAAATGTTGGGGTGACAGTCACCTGGGGGGAAAGCCATCACAGAGGCACTGACATGAGCTGTGTGCATTGGGCAGTCTCTCCACCTCCAAGGGCCTCAGTGTCCTCTCAGGTGTGAGGGTCAGTGGTCCCCGTGGCCTACTGCCACATTCATTGAAATGCTACATGTCCAGAATATGCTATTTACTGGGGGGATAAAGGGAAAGAAATATACTTTGCGCATATTTCATACGGAAGACAATAGTGATAATGCTTCAATTAGTGCATTGGAGATGCCAGGTTGATTGTAAATGAAATTGTGCTGAGATCTCAGCTCTGCACCATAATTGCACTAAGTTTTTTGAATAGAAAACACTTTATCAAAGTTGTGACTTAGTGAGGAGAGATTGCTAATGTTTTTTGCAATGGAGTCTGTTGCTTTATCACATCAAAGATTTTGTTACAAATGCATGCCAGGTGACCTATGAAGTCATAAGCCTGCAGTAACTCACCTGGCTGGTGTAGAGGAGTGTAATTCTAACACGGCCATCCCTGTGGTAAGGGGAAAGGAAAACACTGAAAGGTTGCTTCTCTGTGAACAGAGTGGCTGTTTCCAGGTTTCTGACCCCAAGGACGTGGGTTCCAGTGGACACAGTGAGCCAGGCTGTGGGGTTACACAGCATGTACCATGATGATGGGGGTTCCTTCCTCTTAGGACTCAACACGCCCAGGGCCCTCTGGAAGCACACTCTGGAAGCTGTCCTTCTGCTCTGTTGAGGGGTAAAGAGTTGGTGAATCACCCCCAACCCCTCTAGTCCTTACTCAGTTTCCATCTAACACTACAGATGGGGCCTCATTATACAGATGCAGAAACAGAGACCCTGAGAGAGGTCTGGCCAGGCTGAGGCCCACAGTGAGTTCGTGATAAGGTAGGACCAGAGCCTGGGTCTCAGGCTCACGGTGCTCTCTGTGACCCCACTAGGTCAATCCTCTGTAACCTGCTTTAAGGGAAACAGGGTGGGGCCACACTCCCCGCAGCTCAGTCTGACCCTGTGGATCTGTGGCCTGAGAGTAGGACACATGCACCAGAATAGGTGATTCGGAGCCTGTGGTCCACTCTCAGCCTGTGTCCCCCACCCCACAGGCAGGGCCACTGCTTCCAGATTAAAGGAAAGGTGAGTTACTTAGCGCTCATTAACTCACGAAGTCAGAGGTAATCAAGACCAGATTGAACTTCCGTCCAATCGACTTAGGCACTCTCATGTTTAAAAATCCATATGGGGAAAATAATGCAAGAACGTAATTTTTTAAAAAGAATGTGGAAAAGTGGTGTAAAACTGTTAATTGTTCTTAATGTGAGCTGCAACTTTGGCCTCACTGTGGCTGCTCCGTGACGGATACTGAATGGCGGTGGGGCTCCTTGGAGCTTGCTGAGGGTTCCCGCCTGTATCCACTTTCCCTCCAGTCACATTATTTTAAGAAGGGAAACTGCCCCCCATTCCCTGCCTCCCTGCTTCCTTTGTGGTCCTTGGGAAAAAGAAATTCCACGAAGAAACTAGTCTGTGCTGCTGGGGTAAGGACAGTGTTTTCCCTGGAGGAGGCCACGCTGGAGGGACCACAGAGGCACTGCGGGCAGCTCACACCCTGCTCCAGTGTCCAGGTAATGGCCACAGGGTGAGCTTGGTTTTTCAAAATCTACTGAGCACTTTTCTGTAAGTACATGATATTTCAATGAAGCATTATGAAATTATATTATCAGAAGCCAAATTTGGTTTGTTTCCATTGGGTTTTCAAGGTCTATTTTATTCCTATCCTTTCCTTTTTCTTTACATTTTCTCCTCTTCTTTAACTAAAAAAACCTCTATAAGTTTGAAAGACTCTCAGGTCTTCAGGATAAAATGCGAATTGGTGCTTTAAGCTTTGTCCCTTCCTGCAGTGGGACTCACAGTCCCCTTTCAGAGACCTGCTTGGTCAAGGGTAGTTATGGGAGTTTAGCGTCAGCTTGGGCAGCCTTCCCTGCTTCATGAGCTGACCCACTAGGGGCAGGATCACATGAACACACGTCCTCATCTCTGACACCCTGAGACCTTAAGCAGCAAGTGCAAAGGGAGGACATCCTATGAGTCTCCCTCCTGTGGCCTCAGGTGGGAGGCCACAAGTATGCTCACAGCTCCCGCTCCTGGTGCCTGGCAGCTCAGACCGTAGCTACTTCTCTAGGATTTTTGCACCCAACTCACACTCTCTCCATCCAAGACTCAAACAGTGTCCCCCTGCCTTATGCCCGGTCACCCTGTTCTCTTCTGCGTCCAGCCTCAGTTGTTCCTCCTGACCCAGCCCCTGCTTCAGCCCAGGACCACCTGAAGCCTCCCCTCTGGGTTCCAGCACTTCCCTCCGTCATGATCTGCACTCCTGCTTTTTCTCGCATGATTTCCCCTCCTGCCACTCCTCACCATCTAAAACAGTGTTCACTTCTGTTTTGCTGTATTGTCTGGCTGTCCTGTATGTGTCTGAGCTCATGAGGGATATTGCATCCCTGTACCCAGGAGAGTGTCTGGCAGAGAGCAGGTGCTGCGCAAACAAGCAATACATGAGTAAGCAAGTGAGCCAGAGAGTACAGGCAGTACCCATATGCCACAGCTTCCCATGCGGCTCTACTAGGAATCACTCTGCTCCACGGCCAAGGCCTCCCCTCCCTGTGTCGGTGTCCCCGGCTCCATGGCCAAGGTGTTGCCTCCTACTGAACGATTCTGAGATGCCTGAACACCATGTGGTTAATCCCAGAGGAAAGTTTCACCGTTGGAATCCAGGCCCTGGCAGGAACTCAGAAGGGGGCCTTTGTCAGCTGCCCTCATCTCCCTTTGGTGAGAGAGCACATTAAAGGCCGAGAGTCCATCCATGAGAGCAGCGCCGGGCGACACACGTAACTGCTAAATGAATGAGTGAACAATGAACAAACTCTGGAGGCAGAGTCCTTAGGGGTTGGCCCGGTCTCCGAATTTCCCTGTGCCGTGAGTGCTGGCCCCCAAGAGGGTTCCGCTGGGCCTTCTCAGACCTCCTCAGGCTCAGCAGCGCCGGATCATGACATCACCACTCATTCCCAGCTCTCCCTGGGATAGTCTCTCAAATGATTAGTGCCAACAATCCTTGACTCCAGCTCTGTTTCTTGTGTAATTCAAAATAAGCACAAACCTTAAAGTATATCTGATTATTGTCCCCATTTTAACAGGAGGAAACAAGCACAGACAGGTTTAGTTACCTGTCCAGGAGCACACAGTGAGCATTGGCAGAGCCAACGTATTTTTCCCCAGTCTGACTCCAGAGCTGGGCCTCTACCCAGGGTGCCACACGCGGTGCAACGCGGTGGGGACAAGGGTCTCTTGTACAATGTGAGGATGGCTGGGGTGAGCCAGGCCCAACACACAGGCCACGTGGAGAGGCCCAATGCGAGGCCACAAGCTGGGGCATCTCCAAGGAAGATCAGCCCCAGACTCCATCCCTGTGCCTCCTGGTCTTCCCGGCCCTCCCCAGACACTCAAGGCATGGGAAGGCTGTGACTGACCATGGCAGGCTGGGTGCTGGGGGCCCAGGGCAGAGGTGGGGGCTGTACCTCCACACAGCCCCCATAGGCAGCAGCCTTGGAGATCTCTCCCTTAGCAGAGGCAGGGCTGTGTCCCTCCCTACACACCCACACTTCTCTCTGGGCACACAGTGACTGGGCAGGCAGAGGGTCTCTTCCTCTTGCTGGCCATTCCTGGTATTTCCCCAGTGCCACTCTCCAAGCCTCTCTGCCTGGGTTTCAGAAGGGAGGATGGTGTTACCGCAGTCTGGAGGCCCCTGTGCCAAGGTCTTTCAGGACCCATAGGATCATCTTGGAGAAGAATCGTCTGTGCACACACAGCCACATGGAGGCCAGATGACCCTGGGTTCAAGAGATGCCTCTAGGGATGCATCAATCTCCAACGATTTCCCAGTCGTTTCAGAGCCAGGATGAGAATCCAAATGCTTGTTTACTGCAGTGAGCTTTCAGTTTAGTTTCTTATTAAATATAACTATGCATAATAGGCAACCCCATTCCCACACCAAAGCTGCAAGCATATTGCAAGTACCAGTTTATCTGTTGGGTAGGCAGAGGCGTTTAGCAGCATCATTTCAGAAGCGGAAGGAGAGTTTCCCCACACTATCCTGCAGGAAGCTTGGCAGAAGCCCAGATGCACATCCTGGATGCTGCCCAGCATCATGGCAGGAAAACGGGTTCAGAGCCACAGGCTGAGGCCTGGGGGACTTCACAGACAACTAGGACAGTTCTGACATTTGCTTCCCTCTTGACCACCTGCTTTGCCTGCTTTGCAAGGATGGACAGAGAACAGCACTAACATGCATGAAAATGAACCACACCCTGTGGTGGTGTCCCACTTAGCTGGTGGGGTCTACGGTGAGAGAATCGGCATGTATGTGTCCTGGGCCAGCAGCTGTCCTCAGGATGGACACTGAGGTCAGGTCCAGAGCAACTAATTGATGTCAGATCTGTGAGTTGCCTCTGATCAGCCAATCTGAGTAGCATGTTTATTAGAACATTTTTGCATTTGGGGGAACCAGAAGTGAGCTGATCTGCATATAGGCCAGCCTTTCTGCATAGGGCACAGCGTATGTGCAGGCAGGCTAGCTTATGTACAAACAGCCCACTATGTGTGACGTGGAACAGTCACTCTGCAAATAGAGCAGCTGTCCCCACATGGGCTACTACTTAGACCAAGCTTCTCCAACCTGCAGTCTGCGGGCTGCGTGAAGCCAGACACAGCTTCGAATGGGACCCAACACAAAATCGTCACATTTCTTAAAACTATGAGAATTTCTTCACGATTTTTTTAGCTCATCATCAGCTATCATTAGTGTTAATGTATTTTATGTGTGGC
Organism: Homo sapiens; assembly: GCF_000001405.40. Taxonomy (NCBI): domain Eukaryota; kingdom Metazoa; phylum Chordata; class Mammalia; order Primates; family Hominidae; genus Homo; species Homo sapiens. The sequence continues at coordinate 58,704 of NC_000007.14, forward strand.
TAAAGACACTTCTTCTTCCAATGTGGCTCAGGGAAGCCACAAGATTGGACACCCCTGATCTAGATGCAAGATGCTATTTTGGAAGATGGTGTTAGTGATAATTATTTCAATCCCTGGCAGGGGGGCCCTGAACAAGCTACTCCTCTCAGAGTTCCTGCAGTCTTCCTGGGGGTGGCACCTTCAGCTTGTTCTGTGCCCATCAGCGTTATCAGCCCAGTGCTTGGGCACCTGGAAGGCATCTCCTGTTCATTCCCGGCTGCCAGGGTGACAGAGGCTTGTGTTTTGCGATGTACCGATGGTTTATTTTAATTAGGTATGATAAGATGACAAACATGGAGACAGCTGTCTTGAAAGGAGAGTTTATTACTTAAGGTTCCCAAGAGGAGGGGGCATGGCATACCAGGCAAGGCCATGTGGGAAAGCACCAGCTCAGCCGGGAGGCAGCAGGAGTGAGGGGTGAGCAGGCCCAGAGCCCTTATCGTGGGAAGGAGCTGGGGAGGTGTGGTGACCAGCTGAGCAGGCCTAGGGCTGGCGTTTCAGCAATTTTGGAGGGCTCTGGGCTCTAGTTGTCTGGTTCCTGGCCCTGGGTGATTCAGGGTAGGGAAATACTGGCCTGGGAGTGCAGGAGCCCATGTAGGAGGTGGCTGGAGCCAAGGGCTTGGATTGGGCGGTTTGCACATGAAAGGCACACTCACCAGGGAGTCCCCAGGAATTAGCTACCCCTGGGAGAGGCAGTTCCTTCTCTGGTCAGTGAGGCCCCAGGATGTCAGAGCATCATAAAATACAGAAATTAAAAAAATAGGATTAATACAACTTGGAGGAAGCATATGGGGTTTTGGGGATGCCGTTCAGACCTCACACTGGTCCAAGCCTTCTGCCTTCCTGGGACTTCTCCACCTCTCCACGCGGTGACAATGGGCAACAGAGACTGGGCCAGGCGGCACGCTTCTTCCCCCGCCCCGCTGACCCCACCAGAAAACACCATTTGCCGTATGATCTCTGGGCAGTGGAGGTCGTACTGTGGGAGGGGCAGCTCTGTTCTTGAGCTCCTTCCACTGGGAGCCCTCAGGCTCAGAGCCCACGTCCCTCCCACCTCCCATCTCCATACCTTCTGTCATTATTTAAATGAGAGTATTATGCAAATGTAATGCAAAAATCGAGTTCAACAAATCTGTTCTTACCCACACAGGGGCAGCTAATTTATGGAGCTCAGACTCAGTCTAGGTCCCTTCTTCGGGGTAATGCTGTTTTTGGAACCCCAGACAAAGTAACAGCAACTCCAAGATTTTCACAGAAGCTTCCTTTGATGACTCCAAGCTCCCCCAGACCCGGTGGAAACGCAGACTCCTTGGCTAACACTGCCATGGGAGTAGAACCCACCACAAGCCCCCTACACTCCACATGGGGAGAGCTGGGACCCATGCCCTACTGGCTAGAAAGTGGTCCATCCTGAGGGACCTGAGTCAACAAGGATGCCGGGGCTGAGCCGGGCCCTGACGGGCACCCGGGACCTCATGGGGGAGCATCTGAGCAGGGCTGGGATGAATGAGGAGACACCAGCAAAGAGGATGTTGAGAACAATTCCTGGGGAGAAAATTGTGGTCTCATTACCTCATTCGAAGTGGCCTGATCTCAAGGAAGCAGGGAGCAGAGAAACATAATCGGAACATCTCTGTGCATCAGGTTTTCGTACTGACCGTGAAGCACCAAGTGGAAGCAAGCCTCGCGCTGGGAGGACAAGGCTCTCGGCGTTTCCTTGTGGATTTATTTGCTCAGCATGAGTGCCCTGTCAAGCCACCCAAGGGACAGAGCTTCTGGCTCAGGGACCACGGTTGGCTCAGCACAGGCAGCCTCTGGAGATGAGAGGGAACCAGTGGATACCCTTCTATCCCTGCTGGCCACGAGGGGTGGCAGTGTCCCAGGTAGAGGTACTTAATAAAGAGGTTGCTGGTTTTATTTTTCTCTAAATTATTTTTCGAGGAGCTTTTCCATAAGCCCAGGCCCTGGGTTCACACCATCACTGGGGCAGAAGCCTCTTCCCTGCCTTGTCTGATGGGGTCTTTACACCTTCCTCGGTCACTGATGCCAGGTGCTATTGTTCCTGCTCAGCCAATGTCTGGACTGAGTCCCGAGCCTCATTCCATGGGCAGTGGCTCTGTCTCCAGGTGGGGCACATGGAGGCCAAGTCCCAGGGCAGGGCCCACGGTGGGCCTGGTCTTACGGGTGGTGAGTCAGCTGGGCCGGCTGAGAGAGAAGAAAATGAGCGGAACCAGGAGCAAGACAGGTGGAGGATGGGCAGAAGACAGGGTGGCCTCCTCAGGTGGAGAGATCTTGAGGGCCATTTTTCATGCCACCTCCCTCCACAAATCTGCCCACGGCTCCCGATAGCCACGCTCTCCAGCACCTGCCCTTTCAAACTCCAGGGCAAGCTCCAGATATCACCACACTGACCATCTAAAGGGAGCTTGGTTAGCAGTGAATACGTGCCCGTGACCCTGTGGGCTCGGGAGACCCCCATGGGGCTTTCCTGCTCCCTTGGGTAGGGGAGGCTCACGCCTGTGGGTCGGCACCAGTCTGCTTCTCATGTCCCTCCTCACCTCCCAGGCCCCTGGCCCCGGACAGGATAGGTAGAGGCATTTCCTCTTTTCTGCCTTGACTCACTTCACAGAGAGGGGCCTCCCCCACGTGCCTGGCCCCACTGCCAACCCACCACGTGCCGGCCTTGGAGTATGGGGGAATGTGCTTTGCTGCCATTTCTGAACCTGAGGGAGCTTATCTTTCTTCTGAGAGCCCTGTTCTAGGTAGGCAAGCTCCTGTATACTTTACTGCCATTTGTTCAAGTTCCAATTATGGAAGGGACCCTTAGTGAAAAGAGCTTGGTGCTGAGGTGTAATTCTCTGAGCACACTGGGCCTGAGAGCAGCCTTGCAATGACAGGGTTTTCCGGCTCGAAGGAGCCGTCCCCGAGTCCTTTCCACTGGTCTTGGAAGGGAAGAGTCTGTGTCTCGGCGACAGAGGGTGTCTTTGTGGATAAATGAGGCCTCTTTGTGCATGGCCTGCCCAACAGAGGCCACAGGCCGGACACATGCTGACCTTGGACACCTTCCATCTCTGGGGTCAGGGCTGGGACCAGAGGAGATGCCGAGGCCAAGACTAAAGCCCCCCAAAGGTCTTCTGGGCAACTCCCCGTTCAGGGCTAAAAGTCTCCCTGTGATCCCTCCCAGAGGGTTCTGCTTGCACCCCCAGGGCCAGGCACAGCCCCCACACTCTCCTCCTCCCCACACCAGTTCCTCTGCCACCCTCATGGGGCCTGACCACTCCCTGCAGCTTGGGGAGTCCAAAGCACCCCCTTCCCTGAGGGACAGGAGGGGCCCCTGAGCCAGGGCCCTCTAACAGCCATCCCGGGGCCTGGGGTCTGTGGAGGGGTCACGTCCTTGCTCCTTCCTTTCTGTGTTCCCACTTCTACGAGGAGAGGGGTGGAGACTCTTTCCAGCTCTCCAGGTCTACCTCCACACAGCCTTGGAGGGGCGTCCTGGGGGTAGATTACGAACAGGATGGGGCGCTGCTGTCTTTGTGGAAGCCCAGGCCTCCTCCTCGAAGGCCCTATGATCCCGTGTCTGACTTGTAGGTGTCCGTGTCCCCTTCCCCACCAGGCTGTTCACTCCTCCAGGGTACAGGTCCCCCCTCCAGCTCCTTTCTGGGACCCAGAGCTCACTTCAGGGCTCAGCACAAAGTAGATGGCCTGAGATAAGCAGACAAGTAGATGGCACCGCTGCCAGGCCCACGGGGATCACAGGGCTGCCCACGTGCTCCACGAAACACACAGGCACTGACGTGATGGCAGAGCACCACCAGGGTCTTTCAGGAGGGGACTCAGAGTGCTGAACGACCCCACGCACGCAGTCGTGAGGAAAGAGCTGGGCCTGCTCAGCTCGTCCTACATGTGCAGAGAACACAGTGATCAGAGCTCCTGGCAGTGCCCACCTGTGGTCAGCCTGGGAGAAGGAGGCCTTGTCCTCGATGACAGTGGTTCATGTGCACTGCTGTTTCTGGAGTCAGCAGAAACAAATCCATTCTTTAAGTAACGAACAGAGGCGCCTCTGCTACTTGACACAGAGCAATGCTAGGTGTCGGGTAGTCAGGGGCCAGGGCCTGGGTCTGGGGACTGCGGTGCCCGGTCTAAGACAGAGGCCAGGCTGGCCATATCAGCGAGCAGCAGAAGGCCCCCCAGAAAGCTGTCTCTGGTCCAGCGGCGAGGAGCCCCCACAGGTAGGAGCCACCAAGCGCAGTGACCGCGTGCTCTGCTCTCCAGCCCGTGACAGATCCGAGGGGCACTTTGCAAACTCTCCGAGGCCAGGAGACCATGCATCCTCTTTACCTCCTGCCCTGGCCATGACTTCCATCATGCCCGATCTGACCCTCACCACTATCAGGCACCCTGAAAGGGAGCGTATTCGTGGATGGTAAATGCTAGCCCCATGGGCAGGGGCTTCCTGGCCTGTGCCATGTGACCCTCCCTGACACAGCTGCCTGGACCTCAGCCAGGACTTTGGACTCGGGGAGCAGGTCATCAGTCACACCCTTGGCAGGACCTGTCCTGGGAGCCCTCTGTGTGTGGGGAGCTGCCTCATTCCCCTGTGAACACAGTAGGGCATCATGGGGTACGACGGTGAGCACTGGAGCTACCCTGGGGGCTGGGCTCAGTCCTGAGGTCAGGCCCAACCTAAGCTGGGCAGCCTGGTGTCAGCTGCAAGAACCCTCTTCACCTTCCTCATTCCTACATGACTTTCCAGTGTAGGCCATCGGGTGGGATGGGGTAAAAAAACACAGGCCCCATTCTACCCCTCTGCTGATCCACACATGGACATGTGTACACCCAGGCCTCCCTGCTCACAACCATGGCCAGGAAGGCAGGCTCCGGCCAGGGCTCTGAAATGCCAGGAGGGTATAGAGAAGACAGGTGGCCCTCTGCCCCTGCAGTCAGGCAGCACCTGCCCACTCCGAATGCTGCAGCCAGCTGGTTACAGTGTCTGTTACTCAGCTAGTGCGTTTGCCAGTGCTCTTCAGTGTCACCATCGTGGCAGCCTCTGTCATTGAGAACAGTTTAACACAGGAGAAAGAAGTTGCAGGGCCCTGCCCCGGTAGAGGTCTGTCTTCCCTGCCAGCTTTACCCAGCGCGGCCGTGGGAACTGCAGGAACCAGGCTCCCAGGAGGATGCAGACTGACTGACCGCTGCTCCCCGGGGAAGAGCCGCTTTCTAGCACTTCCTTCCTCTTCCTGCAGCCCTCTCTTACCTTCCTGGGGTAGGGAAGGGATGCTGATGTGCTGAGATGGGGTTTTCTGCCTGTTAGAATTGCTGGGGAAAACAACTTACTGTTTTAGCAAGGAAACAACATGCTTCATGGCAGCAAATTGTGTTTTCAGGGGCTCCAGAAAGATATCAGTCTGTTATAAAATAATCAGGCCAATGCTCAGGACCCATCACTAAGGAATAAACCAGCAGCTCTCCACGAGGGGGCACAGCTAGCTTTCCTCTTCACCTCCAGAGGCTGAGGCATCTTGCTGGCTTGAGGCAGCCAGGCACCAGGTGGGAGCTGCAGTGCAGGGGCAGGCCTGGGGGCCTGATTATCGCAGGAGGAGAAATGCATAGTATGTTCATCCCCCCAGAGTGACGCTGGAGAAAAGAAGCCCCAGGTCTCTCCCTTGCCCCTCTATTCCCCACCAACCCAGCTGCCCCAGCAGAGGGACAAAGGCCTGGTGATGCCTCTGTCCTGGGGACAGTGAGTGATGGGAAGGGGGCCCAGCGGGTTTGTCACCACTGGGATCTGACACATGCAGACTCCCAGGTATCCAATAATAAGTCTCATGACCAGCAGGGGCTAAGGGGTGTTGGGTGTGCGTTTCTGTGCTTGTGTGTGTGAATTCCAAGAATCTTTCTTAAATTCTGGACATCTAGGGGCCAGGGCTGTCACTTTCCACCATTTCTGAGAGCACAGACATGTGCACTGCCCCCTCCTCTCAGCCCCCCTCCCTTCTTCTTGCTCAGTGCTCCATACTCCCAGTCCCTTCAGTTCAGGCCTGGAGGAGTCGCCCCTCCTGGAACTGCTGAAGGGTGGGGAGGCAGCTTTCTGGACAGAGGAGCAGGCAGGGAGGGTGCTCCCCCTTGCAGGCTGTTCTGAAGGGTGGATTCTTCTTGCTGCTTCTTGGGAGACTGCATGCCCAAGGGAGCACAGCCATGCCAGCCTCACGTGACTCATCTGAAGTCACAGCCAGCTCTGTAACCTGCTCCGTTGTCGTGAGGCTTTGTCCTTGCTTTGTCCCCACCACTCTGAGCCTGTATGTCCTGCATGTTGCACACAGCTCAGCCTCACTTGGGCCCCACTTCCCAGAGAAGCCAGGAGCAGACGTTCCTCTCAGAGCTCTCAGCGCCCGGTGGGGCAGGGCCCTTTAATCACGCCATGAAAGACAGCAAGGACATGAGTCTCTGCTTAGTTACTATCTAGGTCTCTGTGGTCCAGCCGGGGAAGGGGTGGAGGCAGCATGTTCCCTGCTGTGGCCAAACTAGGCCGCTGGGCCCCGGGTGCTGGCCTGCCAGGTGCTGTGGGGTCTGCCCCGTGCATCTTGTGCAGAGGCCCTCCCCAGGCCCCACTGGACCACGGCTAAGGCTGAGCTTTAACTCGTTTGTATAAAAGCAGATTTCAGGTGTACTAACTGAACAAGACGATGCTTTTAAAAATCAAGAGTGGCAACAAAAGAGCAAGGGGCCACGCCCCAAGGTCCCACCCGAACACCTCCCAGTAAGTGACGGCAACACAGGAGACTTAAGGGATTCAACGGACACGTCCTTTAGCCAAGATGTGGCATTTCTGTCTGTAATGTGAACACTTCCTTATATGATGGGGGTTAGTAAACATCCCCCATTCCTCAGGTGGGGACAGTCACATGCTTGCAGGAGGATTTTCCTATTACGGGGCTGAGACCAGTGAGGCAATGATCTTGGAAGCTGCCATTAGTCACCATCTGGGCAAGCAGCTGTTACAGTGTGCAGTGTTACCCTTCAGCTCTGGGGTTCTTTGAGCCCTGCCGGCGTGTCCTTGCTGACCGTCTCTGATTGGGGCCAGGCTGTGGGTGTTCCCGGCCATCAGAGCTGCCGGGGGACCCTGGAGAGCAGCTTTCCCAACTGTGTCATCATAGAGAAAAGGAAGCCGAGGCCACGGTCCACAGCTGGGGGCACAATCAGGTGAGAATTCTAATTCCTTGAGCCTTTCCCCACACTCTGGCCTGAACCAACCCTGCTGACTCGCTGGTGAAGTCCCCCCACCCTGACCGCCTCAGTTTCTCTCCCTGCTGTGCTGGTGCCCTGAGACGGGTCGCTGCTGCATTGAGTATAAGTGCTTCTGAGCACAGAGAGGACTTCCAAGCACTGTGCAGAATCACCAGCAACTTTCAGAAAACAGACAAATTGCTGGGGAAGCAGCATCATTCATGCCCTCTGGTTGAGGGAGGCTAGGGGCCATCCAGGGGTCTGGGGAGACTCGGGGATCCAGGCCCAGACAGAGCCTGTTCCCAGACAAAAACCATGGGTGGCACCCTTCACTCTCTCTTCCCATGGAAACTGCATCCAAAGCAAGAAACTTCCATTTGAGACCACACTGAACAAGAAAGGGCCATTACATTTTATTCTGAAATGGCCCCTGGAGAAAGAATGGAAGCAAATTGCACAAGTGGGCGTCCATCTCCTTCCACCCGGCCACGGTCACCGTGGTGCTCGGCCAGGCTCCTGGTGACGTGAGGCAAATCTCTCCGCTGGCAAACCAGCCCACACACTCCCTCCATTGCAGACGGTCACCCAGAGCTGGGAGAAGCACCAGGGCCCTGAGCCCGGCCTCTACAGGCACAATGAGTATCATTTTACATCTCTGACCACGTCTTATCTTCTCTCCAAGATGCGCTCTAACACTTGGTCAAATTAACAGTAAACAGCGTCTTCCAAGCTGAAAACAAATGCATCTCACTTGACATTCCGCATCAGCACCATCCCTCACCTCAGCTGTGTGGGGACTGGACTCTTCAGACAGCAGTGCTGCTCAGAAGAGAGCGAAGGCAGTGGCCAGCCCCTCTCCTGCCTGTGCACTCGGGGAATCTGCCGGTTGTGAACTGGCCTGGCCACAGAAGGCGCCTTCCTCTGCTCTGACCACGGTGGAGCGCGGGATCTCCTGGGATGGGCATTTCTCTTTTCCTGGGAGGTCATGGGGCATGAGCTGCACTGAGCAGCGGAGGGCCGGTGGGCTGAAGCCCTGCTCTTGATTTCACACACCTCTTCCAAGACTTTCAAAGTGCTCCTTTGAAACATCCTCCGAGCCCCACGCTGGCCTCAACCGGGGAAAGTGCTCTGCTACCCTCTCCAAGGACAATTGGTTCTTGGGAAGGTCTGCCCCACACTGGGCCAACCACGAACCTTCCTTGGGAATTTCTGAATTAGAACCAACAGCCAAGGCTCATCCACCCCTGGGGTGACCAATACACATTACAGACCAGGAGCCAGAGGACTGGTTGCTTTAAAACAGGAACAAAACTGAATCTGGACCAGCAGCTGCAACTAGAGTGACCCCGGTTAAGTTTATGATAATCCTCAGTCCTTCTCCAAGAGCTGTCTCCCTTCCGTGCGGGCCGAGTAGGTGAGCTGTACGGAGATGTGGTAGGAATCCCACCCCTGCCTCCTCAAGTCTGTGATGGTGGCCCTCATCTCTGCAATCCTCCAGGGATATGGTATTGCATTTAGTTTGCTATTTTCACAGGAAGACGCAGTTCCAGCGGCCTCTGTTTGGCCTTTCTGACCATAACAGCTCTCGCTCTGTGGCCCGGAGAGCCAATGTGAGGATTTTGCCCATTGTTGAATAGTCAGTTCAAGTCATGAATTTGGGAACTGGGGAAATAACCACAGGGTGGACGCAGTGGGCCCCACTATGCATCAAACCTGAGCCAAAACTCTGCTGACCCAAAAGTCCCCACCCTGACTGTGAACCACAGTGACATTTGGGGTTTCCAGGAGTTGGTGTCATTTCGGAGCCAGTGTCCAGTAACGCTTGCAGAGTCTGATCAGTTCCCTTCCACAGTAGAGACAGCGGCCACAGCGTCTTCAGGGAAGGCTGGGAGGAAGGTGAAGCCTCTATGGTTTCACCAGGTGGCAGTGTGGTGGGCCCTTCCTCCAGGGGCTCTGGGTCTGTAAACTGGTTTAAGTCTGAGAATTGAGATGCTGTGACTCTCTATTGTGGTGACATGTGTCAGACTTCTGTTCATCAGGCCTACAGCGTGGATCTGTGGCCAATACATTGGCCACAATGTTCCTGTTGAAACAGGTCGGGGAATGCCAGCTTTCTGCTCCAAACATCCAGGAACTTCTCCACGCCTCCAAGTGGCCTGCAAGGCCCCGCCGGCCCTGCCCCATTCCCTCTCAACTCCATCTTCCACAGCTCATGGTTCTCACTGGCCTCCCTGCTCCTGGAATGATCTGGGTGTGCTCCCACTTCTCCCAGGCCCAGCTCGCCTGGCCCTCGCCTGTCTCAGTCTCTGTGCAGGTGACAACCTCTTGGGAAGACCTTCCCTGGCCATACCTTTGAACTTGCTTCCTGCTTTCACATTGTCTACCCCTTTTCTGCTTTACTTTTCTTCAAAGCCCTTATCATTGCCTTGCACACTGCATGTTTTAATTATTTAGTTGTTTATTGCGTGTCTCCTCCCTCTAAAATTTTAATCTCCATTGGGTAGGACATTTCCTGGCACACACTCAGAATTTTTGTGTTATGATTGAAGGAATAACATCAGCAATGCTGTTCTTTCCCTCAATTACTATGTTTCGAGCTTGTGGCAATCTGTAGAAGTTAGTCAATGGGCCTTACAATCCTGATTTGGAGAAAAGGGGGCCATGAAAAGGAGGGACAAGGTGTCATATATCAATGCGGCCAAGCGCCGACGCTGCCTCCTCCTTCCCCAGATCACCAGGAAGAAGTCAGAGGAGGCTGCTGTTCGTCGACCCACATGCTCCCTTGGGAGCTTGAGAAGCTGCTCCCCCTGGTGCTGCCCCTGGGTGCTGCTTACCGGGAAACTCATGGCATCCGAGATGCTCCACTGCGCTGGGTCTGTCCCGGATCCTCCCCGCAGGTCAGATTCATGTCAGGAATGCTGGAGGGTATTGCGGTCTGGCAGGAGCTCACTGTAGGGAAGGAGAGGCTGGGCTGGATCCCGAGGCTGAGCCGTCCGGCTCTGCAGCCCTCCCGGTGCTCAGTTATCAGGCTCACTACCTCTCAGAGGCGTCTCTTCTCTCTGTGGACATTTGTCTGTCACAGCTGCAAGATTCTCACAATAAACTTGCTCTCCAAATTCCTAAAAGAATTGCTTGCTCCAGTTTAGCCAGCTAAGACTTTCTTGGATAATGGCATAATCTGGAAGGATATTTAACAAATTCGTTTAAACTGGAAATTATTGACTCTATGGTGAGTCAGGAAAAACCACATTCACAATATTCAACAGCAGCGCTGGGCCTTGATGCTCCAGGGCAGTGCAGGGATTAGAGATCTGAGAGGTTTCATGACGCTTCTCAGGGGAATACACGGGTTCTGGGTTCTTCTAAGGAAGCTCCCTCCATGCCAGCCACCACCTTGTCTCTGCTGGGGAAACAGTGGTCCAGGGGCCCTCAACTGCAGGGAAATTATTGAACCTCCCAATGTCACTGCATCTCCTCTGGGTCTTCTTTTATTCCTTCTTTCCCCTAGAAAACACCTTCTGACACACTCCCGCTCTGCCTGTCTGTCCCCGGCTGCGGCCAGACAGCGAGCAGGGAAGAAATCCAGTGTCTGGACTGTTTGCTGGTCTGCAGAACCTGTTCTCTCGCAGTATCTGTTTTCCAATGCAGATTTTCACAGTTCCCTAAACAAACTTAAATTTCCATTCCCAGAATGACTTCATTTCCTGATACCCAGCCCAAATTCACGTGTGTTTGCAGCCGATGTGGCAACATAGCCACTTGGGTGGGGGTGAACATCACAGCCCACAGTTCTGCAGTTCAGATTTGGGTTTATCTTAGCACTTAGTGCAACTTTGCATTTGGCAGAGGTCTTTCTCTTTTGTAGTCCTTGCCACCAACCTCATTACTTGTGAGAGTCTGCCTCATGCCTGTCTGCTCAGCAGATGAGAGACCTTGAGGCCTGGGAAGATCCCGCCCTCCTTGGCTCTGTATTCCTAGGTAGTGCATTGCCTAGTGGTTGGTTAATTTTAGGTGTCAACTTGACTAGGCTGAGGGAAACCCAGATAGCTGATAAAACATGCTTTCTAAGTGCGCCTGAGAGGGCGTTTCCAGAAGAGATCAGCATTTGAATCAGGGGAGTGAGTGGGAAAATCCACGCTCCCCGAAGCCTGAGGGCCCAGATAGAACAAAAAGGCAGAGGAAGGGTGAATTCTTTCCTTATTCTGGATCTGAGACATCCATCTTCTCCTGCCCCCAAACATCAGAACTCGGGGTTCTCAGGCCTTTGGACTCTGGGACGTACACCAGCAACTTCCCTGGTTCTCCAGCTTGTAGATGGCAGCAGGACTTCTCATCCTCCATAATCACATGAGCCAAGTCACATGAAAAATCCCTGCTCATCCCTCTCTCTGTGTACATCCTATTGGTTCTGTTTCTATGGAGAACTCTAATACAACTGGCACAGACTAGCTGCTCAACAAGTGTTTTATTTCTGAATGACTGAGATGTTTGAGCAGCTTCCAAGCTTACATACCTGTGTTTCCATTAAAGCCATTGTTTAGGAGGCCGATGGCAACAAAAGGTTGAAACATGGCAAAATCAGGGGCAGTTGATTTGAGTTATACCGTGATGTGTTTACATTTGTACTATGATAGGGATTTATTGCAAGGAGTTAGGAATGCTGGCCTCTAAAAGCTGGAAAAGTGTATTTTGTTGGGGAGGCCTGGGAGCCCCCATCTCACACACAGGAGGGAAGACACAAGGGGAAGCACTCGTGACGATGAACGAGATGTTGTTCCTGCCAGACGCAGGTCCTTGCCATGTGTGTGCATAACCTCATTTCATTCGATAGCAACTCAGGAGGAGGAAATCATTATTAACTGTATTCTTTTATGTACAGAAGCTGAGGCTTGAAAGTGAAAATGACACAGCTGTTCATGGTCTTGCTGGCATTGGAGCCAGGAGAGAAAAATCCCTTGGTAAAATCTCCCAGCTGAATGGGGAAATGGGAATATATCCCGCATGGCCCAAAGAGACCATGGCTGGAAGTGGTCACAGTCCTCGAGGGGGAGCTGTGTGGTGGCCAGGCTGTGGTCATGAAGACACAGCGGCGTGGGAGGCTGAGGGTCGCTGGGGATGCTGGCTGGAATGTTTCTGTTAATAGCTGGAGCTCCAGAGCCTGTCCTGGAAGAGGGATGGGGGCCTGGTCCTGGGAGGGTTTGTAAACCGGCATGAGCACATGTCAGGGTGGAGCTCTGACGTCAGGCCCCTGGCATGACTACAATAGACATCACACAAATGGGGCAAGAGGACCAAGCCTCCCCACGGTATAGCTGCTCAACTGTGTGGGGGGAGCTGTGGTGAAACACAGGACTCACTTAGAAAGATCCAGAGAGATAATCCACCCACAGAAAACCTGGAGAGCATTTTGAAACTTCCTACAGGAAATCCAGGAGAAAAGGAGTCCTATTCAGTGATGGGAGGGGGGGCAGGTCAGGGGCCGCATCGGAAGGCAGTCGTCTGAAGGGATGCACGGATTCACGACGGAGGTGCTGAGACAGCCACAGGAGATTGGGTGGGGAATCTAGAGCTGGGACACTCTGGTTTTGATGGAAGGAGCATCGCCCTAGGAAGCAAAGACACAGATTCGAGTCCAGGCCTGGAGCAAACTTCAATCACCCTTAAGCCCTCTGAGTTTCTGCGTCTGTGAAATAAGCATAATGATTCCCACCTCACAGGGGCAGGGGCAGGGGCAGGACACTGTGAGATTGTAAGGGTTGGTGTCCCTCTTCGCATGGAGTCAGCAGCCGGCTGGGCTGAGGGAGGTGTTTCTGTCCTTAGGTGTCGCAGGCTGGCTCTCGTGCGTCCTTCCTTCCACTTCTCCCCACCTGCATCCACACAGAGAATACACTACCTCCATAAAACGCTTGCAAGGGGCCACTGTTCTCAGCATTTCACCTGTCAACCTCACTTAAGCCTTAAACAGCCTATGATGAGGTTCTGATACTGTCTCCCTTGGCCTGCTGGAAGGCCCAGTGCTGAAGGACAACTGGGCACCCCGGCTCTTGGTATGGTCAAAGGCTCTCACCTGGACAGGGAGGACCCCCTCCTCTCCCTGGGCCTTCTGCTGCCCTGAGCCCCTACTGCTCTCTGCCACGGACTCGGGAGGGAGCATGAGCTGCATCCAACAGGCCGCAGCAGGTCCCGGCCTCTCAGCACCCAAGACCAGACAGAGGCAGTGCCTCGGCTGCAGTAAAGGCCTAGCGACCTGGGTGGGCATGGGGCACACGTTCTTACTCTGGCATTAGAGGTCATGCCACTGCTTGTCTTTACCATTCTACCCAGTGTCCTGCGAGGACTTGGTCCTCAGGTGGGTCACAAGTCTCAAGTCCATTAATTAACTGGTCGGAAGTGAGTCCTGGTCCATCCCTGTGAGGAGCAGGGGGACTGGCACCTCATTTCCTCGTGGACTCATGGCCCTACACAACGACACGCCTGGCCTTCCTGGACCCATGCACTCACTCCAGAAGGACATTTGCTTTGAGCTCGCCTGGTGGATGGGGTGCCCCTGAACATCTAACCATCAGTTGACATTTCCACCATCAGAAAGTTCCTCTAGGCAGCGCCCAGCTAGTGCTCCAAAGAGGTGCAGAATCTCTGAGAAATTATGTGGTCCACAGTCAACAGCTAACAACATTCATAGGACCTTATTAGCCGCCAGCTTGGAGAAGGCCAGTGTCCAGAATAAATCAAATCCTTCATAATTGTCAGACGGTGGTGACTCGGTCAAATCTCGGTCAAAAGATGCTCTGGCCAAAGTCAACAGAGAGCAGAAGCAACTTGCTTTTGCTGGTGCCTCAGCAAGACCACACAGGGAGATTTGCAGGCAATAAACAATGTTGCCTAAAACTTTCCCGTGAGGTGGGAATTGTTTTCATCCAGATAAGAAGGTGCCGGCCCAGGGGAGGTGTGGGTGGCCAAGCCAGGGATGGAGCCCTCACGTGGCCTCAAGAGATCAGCAGCCAGGAGTTAGCTCTCTCCACAGCACGCTGAAACGGCTCCACGCCTCTGCTGGTGTTTTTATAGGAACCCCTTTTGTGTGTTTGCTTCCTAGCTTGGACTTGAGTCAAATGGTCTATTAATTAGGGTAGATTTAGTCACTCCTGACATCAGCTTGTGTGGTTCGAGCAGCCCAAGGGGAAGAGACAGGGCCTCCTTTATGCAGACCCCGCAGTCTTCAGAGGACTGGACACAGCCCTGGCCCTGCTGCTGTCTGCCGTGCCTTTTGCTCCCTGGGTTTCATTCCTTGGTCTGTACCTTGAATATAAGGAGATCCGTTTGTACATTTTGCTCTCGTGCATTATACCAAAGGAAAAGAGAAGATAGTAGTTTAAAGCTCCCAACACTTTTCATGTTCTGAGCCTTTAGGTCTCCCATATGGTAGAGAATCCACAAATATCAGAGGACCCCAAACCTCGCCCGAGATGAAACAGCTTTGAGGCTTCCAGGGATCCCTCAGAAGGCTGCACCCAGGCCGGCCACACGTTAAAACGTGATGGCTCTTTTCTTCTCTGTTCACTGTGGTTTTATCAGACAGAGCTCTAAACCAGTTTATTCAATGACATGGAGTGATTCTCTCCTGTCTCTGCTTGTCCAGTGTGTGACAAGAGTTGAGAAGTGGGGAGACACAGGGGGCACATTGAATGCAGGTGGTCTTACCCGCCTCACTCAGGATGCACGTCTTGCCTGGCTAGGCTTGGCCTCCTCTGCACTGTGTGCCCCTCTAAATGAAGCGTGACCCTTCTTCCCCCACCTCATTGGTGGTTCTCTGCCCCCATGAGCTCAGCCAGCTGCTTCCCTGACACATGCAGGTCCTAGCCTGGACGAGACGGAGCAACAAGGCCGAGTGGGGACGAACACTGGCCTGGCTTTCAGGTCCACCTTTGCCTCATGCAGATGCTTCTCTACCCTTTATGATTGAGATCCTGGAGCAGGGGATCACCTTGTTGTAAGGACCATAAAGTGGAGAAGGAGCAGGGAGAGGTTAGGACCATTGCTGCAAGCTCCTGGTGTCCCTGACAGTGAGAGAGGCAGGACACTCGCCTGGGCTGGGCCTGAAGATGCTGCTTTCTCCTCTGCATGCCTGGGGTCCAACGAGGGTCATGGGACCCAGGAACGTCTCTGCAACTCTGTCTGTAAACATCCAGGAGCTAATTGTGACCTGGAAGTCATTCAGAACTCAGCACAGAGGCCTTCAGAAGTCCCTGCCTTCAGATAAGGGCAGGTGCTTACTCTCCCAGTGGCTAGCACTGTTAAAACAGACTTTTTTTTTTCTATAGCCAACATCATAACAAATGATGAAATACTCAATAACTCCCCCTAAAACGGGAAGAAAGGGAAGGGTTTCTGTTTTTGTTTTCATCTCTTCTTGTGAGCATTGGGCTGGGAGGTTCCAGCCAGTGCAAAGAGATGAGGAAAAGAAAAGTATAAATATTGGAAAGAAATAAGTAAAACTATCCTCATTTACAGGTGAAATGAGGTGGCAAATCCTAAGGGATCCACAAAAAATCAACTTGAACCAATAAGTGAATTCTGCAACATCACAAGACACCAAGTCAATATGTAAAGATCAGTTGTATTTCTATATACTACTGATGACTAATTTAAAACATCACAGGACACCAGGTCAACATATAAAGATAGGTTGTATTTCTATATACTGCTGATGACTAATTTAAAATGAAGTCAAAAATACTATCTATAATAGTAAAATCAAATACTTAGGGATAAATTTCACAATATATGTGAAAACCTCTACACCAAAAATTATCTGAGAGATATATCTCTAAATATACCATGTCTAATTCTTCACAAATTGATCTAATCATTCAATGAAATCTCAATTGGAGTCCCTGTGGACTTTTCCTCTAAATTAACAGGATGATTTAGAAGTTCATAGAGAAGTGAAGGTCTAAGGGCAGCCACAGCCATCTGGAAAGGAACGGCACCATCAGAAGAGTTGTCAAATCTTGCACCAGTAAGGCCATAAAGAAATAGCTCACTGGCATAGAGCAGAGATTACAGAAATAGGCTGACAGGCACCATCCCATGATTTTCAACAAGCAGGCCAAAACCACAGGGGGAAACATGGTACTGAAATAACTGGATATCAGGCCAGGCGTAGGGGGGCTCATGCCTGTAGTCCCAGGACTTTGGGATGCCAAGGTGGGAGGATTGCTTGGGTCCAGAAGTTTGAGACGAGTGTGGGCAACGTCATAAGACTCTGTGTCTCTACACAGAGATGTAGGCCAGGCACGGAGGTGCACACTGAGGCAGGAGGATCCCTTGAGCCCAGGGGTTTTAGGCTGCAGTAAGCTGTGATCGCAGCTTGGGCGATAGAGTGAGATCCTGTCTCTAAAATATAAAATATATAAATAAATAAAAGAAAACTGGATATCCACATGAAAAGAAAAAAGAATCTTGACTCCTCCCTCTCATACCTTCGAAACTGAGAGGTTAGGCAAGGGTTTCATAGAGAAGACACAAGCCATAAACTAGAAGATTGATAAACTAGAGTATAACTTACAAGGGAAACGAGAGTGACTTCATGCTGGAGAAACCTGGCCAGCACACTCTGCCAGGTAGCCGAGGTCAACATCAGCAGTGAGCCGGGCCGAGGCAGGACCCCTGATGTGGTGGGATGAGAAGCGCCTCACCTCTGCTCTTCCTCCAAGGAGCCCACAGCCGGAATCTGATCATGAAAAAAAGACTTCACACGAATCCCGGCAGACAGACACTCCCCCAGATGCCTGAGCCCAGCTTCTCAGAACTTTCAAGATCACAGAAAACAAGGAAGGTCTGAGAAACTGTCACGGCCCAGAGGACCCCAAGGAGATGTGACAAGCAAATGTCACACGGGATCCTGGATAGGATCCCGGCCCACAAAACGGCCACCCGAGAACAAACCAAATGAACCGTGGGCTTTAGTCAATGATTATGTAGCAACGTTTGTTCGCTAATTCTGACAAATGTACCATTATAATGTAAGGCATTAATAATAAGCAAACTGTGTGAAGTATATGGGAACCCGGCACTATCTTTATAACAATTCTGTAAACTCGAAATGGCTCTAAAATAAAAAAACTTCATTTTAAAAAACCAGCCACAGGGGAAGGAGGGAGATTGATAAATTGGACTTCAAGAAAATGGAAGTCATTGGGTGAAAATACACACAACAGGGACACCTGATGAAAGACCTCCGTGAAGAATGTGTAAGCAACTCTGGAGACCCAGCAATCAACAGACTACTGCCCAATTCTAAAAAACGGGCAAAGACTTGAGCAAACAGTTTGGAAGATACACAAATAGCTGATGAGTTTGAGAAAAGCTGCTCAGCCTCGTAGTGATCAGGAAGTGCAACTGAAAATCTCAGTGGGACGCCCTGCACGCCCGCCAGGATGCAGGCGGAAAGAGGCTGACAACACGACAGTGAGGCTTATGCCAAGCAACCGGATCCTCATCGCCTCTGGGGAGAGCCTGGAATGTGGCCACCACTTAGGACCATGGCTTGGAAATATCTTAAATCCAACGTATTTCTACATGCTAGTGATGCTGCTCATCAAGGGGGTGAGCACTCATGGGCTGGGGATGCTACAGGGTCCTCAGTGCCTGCCCATTTCACAGGACAGGAGACTGAGGTCTAGAGGGAGGCAACAGCCAAGCACGCCCTGGATCCAACGCCTCGCCCAAGCCACCACGGCTGCCTCCTCCTCTGGCCCCTCCATCTCCCCCACTCCTCCTTCTCCCCCTTGTCCCCCTTCTCCTTCTCCCACCCCTCCTCCTCCTACTCCCTCCTCCTCATCCATTGTCCTCCTTGTCCTCCTTATCCCCCTCCTTGTCATTCTCCTCTTCCTCCTAGTCCTCCTTCTCCTCCTCCTTCTCCTCCTCTTCGTTCTCTTCCTTGTCCTCCTCATTCTCCTCCTTCTCCCCGATTCCTCCTCCTTCTCCCCGACTCCTCCTCCTTCACCTCCTCCTTGTCCTCCTCCCTCTCCTCCTCCTCCTCCTTGTCTTCTTCTTCCTCCTCCTCATCCCCCTCTTCCTCTTCCTAATTCTCCTCCTCTGCCTCCTCCTTGTCCTCTCCCTCCCCCTTGTCCTCCTCGTCTTCCTTTTCTTCCTCCTCTTCTGTCCCAGGGCTTTCAAACTCTGGCTCTCCAACGACATGGAAGAGTTAAAAGGAGGAACGCCGGCTCAGCCAAGCCCCGGAGACTCCTACTTGATATGGGCAGTTTAAAGCCACTTTCCCTTTAAATTTTTCTGTGACAACTCTTTTCATGGAGAATGGAAAGACTCTCGTTAAGTGTTGCCGTTCAGAAGTGTTGGTGGTCGTTGCTAACATGAGATCCAACAAGGTAAATGCCAGAAGCCATCTGCAAGGGGTAATACCTTATTCTGCTTTTGCATAAGTGATGCTGCATCCCTTTATCTCTCTGCTGCGGCCTTCAGTGCTGATGGCCTGTGCCACCCAGTGACTGGTTAAATCAGCTTGAGGAAGAGCTCTTTTGAGCCTCTGTCCTGTTTAGCAGAGGAAACTTCAAAGTCCCAGCATCCTGGTCATGGAATGCTATGTTAACCCTTTCCAAAGTTTGAGACTGAGATGGGCAGACCATTTTAAAGACACACTGCATCCAGCCTCCCATGACAGAGCCTCATGGGAAGGGTGGTGAGCAGAGTCGTGGGGATATTCTATCCTGAGCCTTCCATGTTGGGGCTTCTCGGAGACAGGGGAGGACCACAGCCTCAGTGACTGGCCATTGGCCAAATACACTCATTAAAGTGCCCTCTTCTCCAGGGCTGGGGACCTGACTCTCTCAGTCTGTGGGGCCCAGCCCACCTGCTCCTCCCTAATGGCTCCTGCTGGATGGGGAACAGCCTGGCACCAGGTGAACCATCACTGACTCTCCCTGGGGAGAGACGAGGGAGGAGGGGGCATGTCCAAGAGGCCAAGGTACAAGCCCAGTGCCCTGCAGGTCTTCCAACATTTCCAGCCGTAATGGCCATGATCACCATGGTCTGGACTTTCTGAAGAAAGTCTTTTCACAGGCTCGGCCTGGCTGGAATCTGACCTGTGAAGCCTTTGGGTCAGTCGCAGGAATTATCAAGCATCTGCCATGCCTGGAAGAGTTGGACTGGGGAGGCACAGGGCCTGCCTGGCGTCAGGTGCTGAGGAAGGGATGATAAATGCACCCCCTCTGTTTTGTCCGTTTCTCACGGCCTCTCTGGCCACCCCGTCCGCCTGTGTCTGTCCTGCCCAGCCCTTCTCTGACGAGCGTGTCTTGGCGCTTTGTCTCTGCTCACCCTGGGCTCATCAGTGTAAACAGCAGGAGGTTCCACCCCAGGCGAGGTGTGCCATTGTGACCGAAGGTCTCAGGGAACAGAACTGAGTCTGGGTAGGTTGAGCTGGGAGTTTCATAGCTGTAGGAAGCTGCGATCGCAGCTTCATGATGCAGACAGAAGGCCTTGTCTCAGCTCAGTGGGGGAAGCCCCTTGTCGACTCTAGGCAGGGGGGATTGTACCGCTGCCTCTCCCAGTAGCAGCTCCCAGGAGGCAGTACAGTCACGGGGCCCCGCTGGTAGAAGCCTGAAAAGTCCATCGGGAAAACCTCAAAGGCCACCAGTCCTCGAGGTAGCTGCTGCTCCAGCTGTGCTCACCTGGAGTGGAGGGGCAAACGGCACCAGGGGTGGGAGAGGTCAAGGCAGAGCCTCTGCCCCATCCTAGACCAGCTGCACGAGACGACAGCTCACACCAGCTGCCCAGAGGCACAGCCCCTCTGCCAGGCTTCAGCAGGGCACGGCTTGATCTCAAGGCCCTCTCTTCTCGTCCCACCGCCCCTCCCTCCTGTGACAGGAGGACCAGCAGTTCCACTCTGAGCCCGGCTGAGGCCCGACCTCCTCCACCTCAGCCCTGAGAATCTTCTCCAGCTGGGATGGCTGTTGCCCTGTTGTCCTGTTGCCCTGTTGCCCTGTTGTTCTGTTGTCCTCTTGTCCTGTTGTCCTGTTGTCTTGCCCTCCCAGCTCCTGACCACACAGGGGCTTTGTTCCCGCGCCAGCCTCTTTGGGGAAAGTGGGGGAGGGGGGCCCTGCTCCAGGCTCTGGGACATTTGGCTTGGGCTGTAGCCTGTGTCCAAGGAGAAGAAACCCTGAAGGTGGGTTCCCACCAGATGTGGGCATGGTCAGCTACATCAGGCCCCCAAAGGTGTGCACATCCTAATCCCACGAACCCGTGGGCACGTTACCTTACATGCAAGAGGGGCTCTATGGATGGAGTCGGGATAAGTGTCTAGAGATTGGGAGGTTGTTCTGGGTCATCCAGATGACTTATGAGAGGGCCCTTATGAGAGGGAGACAGCAAGCTCACAGAGAGGGCCATGGAACAACAGCAGCTCAGACACAGCAGAGGCCGCACAGCTGTCCTGGGTGCCGAGTAGCTGCAGAGGTCGGAGGAGGTGCAGAGCAGGTGTTCTGCAGCCTCCAGAGGGACCAGCCCTGCTGACTCCCTGGCTTTGGCTCAGTGAAACTCATTTCGGACTTCTGAGCTCCAGCTCTGCAAGAGAAGAAATCTGTGCTATTTTAAACCACTAAATTTGTGGTTTCTGTTTCAGCAGCAGTGGGAGAGGGCGAAATGCTCTCCAGCTTGGCACCCGCAGCCCAGCTCAAAGGCAGGGACTGTGGTTGCTTTGCAAATGAGGGAGGCTGGGTCCCTGCCCTCACCGGGCTTACCATCTAGGTTTGGAGAGGAGTGACGTAAGGTGAAGTCAGAAAAGAATCATAAGAAAAGAGAGTCCACACCCTGGAAGGATCTGAGGCAGAAGGAAGCTCTTGCTGAACCACCTGAGAGGAGGCGGTCTGGCCTGAGCACCCTGGGGGGCCTGCGCCCCCACTTCGAGGCCCCTCTGGAAGGTGCTTGGCTCTCCGGATGACCCCAGCACTGGGGAGACCCGCTGTGCTTTCCAGGCAGCACAGACACCTCGGTGTAGGTGTTGTGGTGCCACAGGGAAGGGTGTTTCTTCCAGCCTGGTTCTCAGGACGGGCTGCTGGCTGGAACAAACCCCACCTCTATCTGAGCCACCAACCATCTGAACCGGTATTCTCTCTATCTGACAAATATTCCTCCTTCTTTACATCCCAGAAATGGTGAAAATGCACAATGCCTCAGGACGCCTTGAGGAAGGAGCAGCGTGTTGCTGCTGAGGGTGAACACACGTGGTCTCTGAGGAGAGGCGACAGATCTCCCTGGGCGTCAGTCATCCTGGGACTGGGTGTCGTGGAAGAAGGTGACACCAGGCAGAAACCAAGAGCAGGGGAGCTGCAGGCCGGTATCAGAGCCCGTATCAGAGCAGAGTGGCCCCTGAGCGGGGAGGCAGCTGGAGCTCACTGTTGGAGGAGGGCCCGGCACCTGCACCTGAGGACATGAGTCTGAGGCCTGCGGAGAAGCCAGGTGAGACACCGCTGTGCTTCTCTGGGCCACGGCCCCTCACGGCTGCATCCAGTCACCAGAGTTCCTCTGTGCCTCACCCACCCTTGATCATAGAAGACAGCCTGCATGTCCTCAGCTCTGTCCTCCAACCGGCTGCCCGGGAGGCCTCCCTGGCTGCTCCCCAAACTGCACGTGCCCTGAGTCAGCCCTGGGGCCTCATGGACTCCCCTGTTCACGCATCCCGGCAGCGCGCAAACCATCCCTGTCGGCTCCCAGTGAAATGCTACAGGATCTCAGGGCAGCTGCACCCCGCAGGTTCAGAAGGGATGGGATTCTGTGTCCTTTTCCTTCTTGCTTCAGACCTTCACCTGGGGCTCTAACACCGAAAGTCTGTGCCAGACAGAGGCATCCACAGCGACAGGAGCCTGGGCCAGGGCGGCCATCCCTGCTGCAGAGACAAATGTCAGTGTCCATGGAATCAGTTCGGTGCGGTGAGCGGCAGGTCTGATATGAAAGCTACTCGCACTTCCCGTCTGGGCAAGAGCAGGAACTCGGCAGGCAGAGAGCTGGTGGAGCTTTCCATGGGAAAACCAGAACCTTCAAAGAGCCCGGCCTCCCTCTGATCAGCCCCTTCTTTCTGATCAGATGCATTATTGACGAGGCAGCCTCCTCCACCTGCCTCTCATCAGAGCAGCTCGTTTCCCACCGTGGTAATTTATACTTGTGATTTTGGCCTTGATCAATAAAGGCAACGGAGAAGACGCACCCGTTCATTTCCTACAGGAGGGGCGGAAACACACAGGCCTCTGTGCAGAGCTTTCCTGGGCTCTTCTGAAGGCAAGCAAACCCATCAAAGGGAAGATCTGCACGCTGAAAGGTCAGCAGTTCCCTTTTCCCCATGGGATTTGTGTTAGCAACTTTGCGAGTGGAAGATGCATTTGGAACTGCCAGTCCCTTACAGCCCTCACATGGGAGGTGCAATGTTCATCCTGTCACTATTTTAAAACTCGTCTCAGGGTTGGGAGTAACTGAAACCGTTTTGGGCTTAATTTTGCATGAGGACGTAGCAGAGCATGACAGAAGGGAAAAAGAGAAAATGCTGGCAAAGGAGAAATGGCCCTAAGAGGGAAGCCGGATCCCTAGCTGGGTCGGAGTAGATGAGCGGGGAATGAGGGGCTGGAGGATGCAGCTCCGAGCGTGCAGGGGTGGTGTGCTCTCGGGAGGGAGCTGCTGTGGAGCTACTAAGGAGGGAGGCTGAGGGGTGGGAGAAAGCCCAGGGCTGTAATCGTAGCCCCTGGAGCCTGATTTAAAAGACTGGAGGAGGCAAAACCTTTCCTGGGTGACATCCATCCAGGGCATGACCCTGCGGCCTCCGTGTCTGCTGTGGGCGAGGCTGTCCCTGCAGCCAGCCCTGCCCCCATCCCTTCCCTTCTAGGGATGTTGGAGTGTGGGGCAGCCCAGCTTCTGCCCACAGCACAGATGAGGAACTGAGGATGCAGGGGCCCGTGGGGGACGGCACACGGTCAGCCCAGAATTAGGACCTAAGGTTGGCCCTATGGGTTCCTGCAGCACAGACGTGCAGCATGTGCACCCACATGTACACACAATCAGGCATAGCCACAGAGAATCACACCCTCCCACGCACACCCACACCCACACACCCTCCCACAGGCACACGCGCACCCTCACACTCATGGTCTCGCCCTCCCACAGGCACACCTACACTCACCCACGCCTACAGGCACACAAGCACACACTCCTTTCCCCCCACAATCCCTGCACACCCGTGGGCACCTATGCTCTCGTGTGGTCTGGATCTGCCCTCTGTGTGCACAGCCTGTGCCTGGCCCAGCGTGAGTGACTCGTGGATGCTCTGCAGGTGAGACCTGAGGTGAGTGTCCTGGCACCGCCCGGGCCTGGCTATCGGGAAGCTCCGCCCAGACGGCCGCCTCCTCCCTGGCGCGGGCCTCTTCCCTAGGAGGAGCTCGTTAGCTTGTTTTTCCATCGGTATTCTTTGTCCCCAGTCACCCGGACCTGGGGCTGGGCACTGCCAGGGGCAAATGTGCCATGTGGAGAGGCCAAGCGGGGGACAGGGGCGGCTTGTCCGCCAGGTGGCACCGAGGCGGCTGCGTGTGGGGCAGTGTTCCCACTCTCGTCACCAGCCCGCACTTCCCGCTGCCTCTGAGTATTCTGTGGGGGCTGCCCCGGCTGCAGCCCCAGGTGTAGCCTGCTGGAAATCTCACGGTGTCCAGGCCCCATCCCTAACCGGCCCGGGGCATCCCTGATTTCGTGCTCACCGAGAGGGGCCTCCCTCGGCCTGCCCAGCTAAGAGCCTTGCAGGAGCCCTTCTCCAGCCTCACACTGCCAGCCCCTTTGAATTGCAGCACTCAGGTCCCCAGGAAAGGTGTTTTTATCCAGTTAGCTGTTTTTTATACTTATGAAAAAGCTCCGTCGCTTGGAGCAAAGCAGAGTTGATTTTCAGATGTGATTTCTGCAGGCAGAGCAATGTCTGGTTCCTGCTGTTTCTTCTGATGGGCGCGGCGGTGACTGAGGGTGTCCTGCGAGCCGTCGGTGAGCGCTCAGCTGTCCTGGTCTGCAAGTTCCTACTGACATCACAACCTGCTGCTTCTCTCTGTCCTTAAGGGTCAGAAGATGGAGAAAAGGTTCATGTTTCCACCCCTGTATTCTGTTAGGTTCGGGTTTTTGAGAGAGGCTTGTGGGGAAGGGGCCGTGTCCCCACTCCTTCCTTTCTTCTTGTACACATATTTACATCCACTGATTGAGTGATTTACAATCACTCAACATGATTGACGGAACTTCTGGCACTGCGGAAGCTGTGCTAAGGCCTGGGCATTCATGGGACATGGAGCGTGCAAGAGCTGAAGTTTTAATGACTTGCTTGCAGAAAAAGATCAAGTTTTACAACAGAAAATTATGGGGCATAATTTCTATTGTGGCAAGGGACCAGGGCCGTCTCCTGGAGGAAATCTGGAGAGAACATGCCACAGCCAGGCCGGCGTAGAGAGAGGCTCTGGCAGGGGCCCCTCCCAACCCACCCCTGCATGCGTGGGGCTTCTGCTCAGCAACAGGGGCGCAGCTCCACTTTCAAAGTGTGAGGGGCAGGGGCTCAGGTCTCGGATGCCTTCACCACCTGCCTGAGTCGGGCATCGGGCAGGGAGCGTGCGGGGGCCTCTGCCTCTGCTGGCCCAGATGATTCCCTGGCCCTCCTCAAGTGCAGCTCCCATTAAATAGATAGAGCCGGGCTCTGAGCCACGAATTGGGCCAAGCATCCCAAGGGGGTGGAACCGAGTCAGGAGTCAAGACCAGAGGCCAGGAACTGCCCACGCCCATGTTCCTTCCACAGGGCCAGCCTGTCCGGTGGCAACACTAATACCATCCCATGAAGCCTGTGAAAATTAAAGGGAATGGTGCATGTTTAGAGGCCACACACAGCAAGTAACCAATGAACACCCACCCTTCATGCTTGGTTTTCATCACTGGGCCAGCAGGGGCGGAGGCCCCAGCACTCTCCCTGCCTGATGCCCGACTCAGGCAGGTGGGCTTGAGAGCCCCTCCCGGGGCTCCAGGGCTCTGAAGGCATCCAACACCTGGGCCCCTGCCCCTCACATTTTGGAAGTGGAGCTGTGCCCGTGCTGCTGAGCGAAAGCCCCATCCAGCTCTCCGAGAACCAGACGAGGGGCAAGGGAGATGAAGTCTTCCTGGAAACTTGGACTCCAGCTGGTGTGGGGGTCAGAGCAGCAGGCTGAGCCTTCAGGGGGCCTCCGGCAGGCTCCCAAGGCTGCGCTGTGCGTCTCTTCCACCACACGCACTGGGGCATGAGGCCAAGGGCATCGTCTGCAGAGCGAGAGGGAAACTGGGGTGGCAGGGCTTGCGGGCGCAGGACAGCGCCAAGGGGCTTTCGTCTCCCAGCATTAGGACGACCTTGTCCTCTGCCCCTGTCTGGGGGCCGCTGGGTCCCTCCTCACAGGAGCGAGGCAGGCAGCTCTGGTGCAGGGCCGGCCAACAGGCCTCAGATCTGGAGTCACAGACCCAAGGACGAGGACAAGGGCCCCACACACCTCCAAGCAGGCCCTGAGGTACTGACGGGCAGGCAGGACCCTCTGTGACCCTTCCTCACTCCTCACCCAGAGAAGCCAGGAGAGCGGGATGCCGAGGGACTGGAACAGAGAAGGCCTCTTGCAGGGGCTCATGGACAGGAAAACAGAGGAGCCTGCCAGGGCCATGGCCACTGGCAGGACAAGTGCCCACTGGAGCCAAGGCCTGGGCAGGGGAGAGGTCTGCAGAGCAGAGCCCGGCCCTGGGTTCCCACAGAGGCGGCTCGCACAGTGGCTGATTTGCCACTCGTTCACTCAGTTTAGTGAGCAGCACGTGAAATGCTAAATCCGTGTGGGCTCAGGAGCAGCCTCAGATGAGGAGAATCCCACAGTTCGTCGGTGAAGCCCCCACCCCAAATCTCCCACAGTCCTGCTCATGCCCAGGGCGGCAGGTGTCCTTTCTAATGGGTGAGAGCCAGGAGCTGGGGGCTGCGTGCGCTGTGGCCCCTCACCCATGGGGGCCTTCCAGGACCCCAGCAGATGCCTGAAACCGGGGAGTGCCCGACCCTGGAGAGTGTCTTTTCCTATACACACATATCCACCTGTGTGGGTGCGTAGCTGAGTGTGTATGTACACCTGTGTGTGAAAATATCTGTGTTTGCATTGGTGTGTGTGTCCATGAGTTTCTGTGTCTGTGTGGGTGTGTGTGCCCATGAGTGTGAGTGTGTGAATGTGTGTGGGTGTGTAGGTGAGTGTGGATGTGTGTGTGCGAGTGTGAATGTGTGCCCCGTGGGTGTATAGGAGAGTGTGTCTGTGTGCGTGTGCAAATATGTCTGTGTTTGTACTGATGTAAGTGTCCATGAGTGTGTGAGTGCTTCTGTGTAGGTGTGTGGTGTGAATGCATGTCTGTGTGTGCCTGTGTGTGTGTGTGTCCATGAGTGTGTGAATGTGTACCTGTGTCAGTGTGTGAGTGTGTCAATATGGGTGGGTGTGTCCTCCGTGAGTGTGTGCGTGAGTGAATGGTGTCTGTGTGCAGGTCCTCACCATGGGCCGTGTCTCGAGCACATGTGCCCCTGCCTCGGTGGACCGCACGGCCGGCTGGGAGACACAGCCCAGGTGCAGGGCACTCCACCTTTCAGGGCAGGCCTTGCTCGCAGCAGGTTTTCTCCCAAATCTTTGTCTCTCATCTTATCTGGGCGGAAGGTTTTACCAATGAGAAGCAGAAAGGCATTCTTTTCCTCCTTGCTGCCTGCTGACAAGAGGCAGCCAGCCGACCACTTGAAAGGGAGCCGGTACAGTTAGGCTGGGAGGGAAACTTGGATCACAGCCTGGAGATGGTGCGGTGTCCAGCCACTCTGCCGGGAGCTGGGCACTGTGTCTGACACACCGTTGCTGCTGGCCACTTCTAGTATTATTATTTCTGCTCTTTCCTTTCCTTCATCATATGCTCCTGGAAGGGGCTCAGAGGTGTCCCCACCTTGCCTGTCCTGGAAAGTTGTCTCAGAAGGCCCTGTCCCGGTGGAAAGTGCTGGTGGCTCTGGGTGTCTGGGCCTGAATGGTGGGGTGTGGTCCGCTTGGCTCTGAGCAGAGCGCCTCCATGACAACGCCACAGTGTGCAGGGAAATGGGGGTGGGTGTGGGGGAAGCTGGGGGGTACCCCCACTCCTACTACCTTGAGCTCAGACCACCCTCTGCAACTTCCCTGGGGACCCCCACGGCCACGGGCCCTGGTCCAGTGGTGGGCTCTGCTCAGCCCAAGGGCTTTTGGATTAGAGTGTTACCAGCTTCCTGAGCCCATCCCCACCGCCTGACCTCGGCCTTGGCCTCCTGAACTCATTCTCAGCCTCCTGAGCTCGTCCTCAGCCCCCTGAGCCCATCCTCATCCTCCTGAGCTCCTCCCCAGCCTCCTGAGCTCCTCCTCAGCCCCCTGAGCCTGTCCCCGGCTTCCTGAGCTCCTCCCCAGCATCCAGAGCCTGTCCCCAGGCCCTGAGCCCATCCTCAATCTCCTGAGCTCTTCTTCAGCCTCCTGAGCGGGTCCTCAGCCTCCTGAGCGAGTCCTCAGCCTCCCAAGCCTGTCCTCGGCCTTCTGAGCTCCTCCCTGCCCTCCTGACCTTGTTCCTGGCCTCCTAAGTTCATCTTAGCTCAAGGAGAAGGTCTTGGCTCCTCCTGCCTCCAGCAGCCCCTGGACTAGATGCCTAGTTTATCAGCAACCCAGATCTGAGCCTCCTATCTCAGACCCTGGACCATGGAGCTGTGGGCACCAGGGAAAGCTCTGGGGCCTGCTTGGCTTAGATAGGACCATCGGCCCCAGTGCTGAGCCTGGCTTAGGGCCACCCAGGGACGTGTGCTCTTCATCACTTCCTTCAAGCCAGTATCGCAGTGTCAGGAAGACCCGCTCTGTCCTGGTCACAGCGGTTCCCTCCTGCAGGACCCTCAGAGCCACAGGGCAGCAGAGAGACCTGAGCAGATGGTCCTGGTTCCACGGGGCTCCCCTATGTCACCCTGGACCCAGTAATTAGACTCTTCGGGTAGAAAGCTCCAAGGATCAGTGAGGTCTTGGGGGGTAAAGAGGCGCACACAATGATTGCTTTATCTCCCTCAAATATGCAGAAAATGAACTCCATCAGCACACACGGGCCGCAGGGCTTTGTGGGTCCCCAGGGCCCCCTCTGAATTACACTTTTGTTTTCCTGTGGGAGCAGCTTGTGCTCATTAGGGGAAGGCCAGGTGCCCGTTCATCTGGTCAGCCCCCATGCAGCCTGTTGGAGCAATGGGCAGGTGGCCAGGAGTTTGCCCCACATGTTTCTTTCTGAGTCTTTTGTCCAGCTGAGAACTTTCTACTTGATCTGTGCAGGATATCTGAGCAAGGCTGACCACTGCCCAGGCCCTGCATCTGGGCCCACAGAGGCCCCGAGCTCCACCCGTGGTGTCCCTTTTAGCTTAAAGCTGTGATCCCTCCCCTCTGCCATTGCTGGCAGATTTCCAGCCAAGGCCCAGACAAATTTCTATCAGGGGGTTTGAATGGGGTGTGCCTGGAGCAGAGTTTTGAGCAGGACCTGAGGAAGAACAGGGTCCCCCACAACACGGGTGCTGGGAGATGCTTCCTCTAGGCTGCATCCTGATGGGGCCCCACTGGGGATGCTCCAGCCAGCGGGCACTTCAAAAGGTCCCTCCGCTGCTCTGCTGAGGACAGTGATGATTCCTCAGCGTGACCACTCAGGTCCTTCCTTTTCCCCAGTGCCCAGAGCCATGTGCTGCCTGGGGATTCTGCTCTGTTACTTGGGACCCACCAGTGCCCATGGCAAGAGCTGCAGGCTCAGTGCAGCATCGGCCTTGGGACCTCGAGGGAGTGCTCAGCCACCCACCAGGTGACCCACCTGCCCCAGGGCCATCAGGCCACCAATGGTGGGGAGAGAAGGTGACAGAGGATGCAGGTGGCTGTCTGGGCCGTGTCTGCCTGGGGTGTGGAAGATGTCAGGGAACACAGGCCCCAGTCGGATGGAGACTCAGCTCCTAGTTGCTTTCGTGCTGATGGAGTGGTGGCCATGGACGGCACTGACACCCAGAACAGGATGTGTGGCCCGTGCCTGGGGCACACAGACCCCAGCATCTGAGCCCGCCTGTCGCTGGTGGGGGAGAGGGTACCGCAGGTGTCTAACGGGGGCAGAGGGTAGACAACAGCTCCCTCCAGAAGTCACTGCCCATCCAAGTCACGAAGCTTCCCATCAGTCCCCTGCTGCCATTATAACGGGCTTTGCTCAAAACAATGCCTTCGCCCTCTCCCAGCTCTGGAGGTGAGCGGTCTGGAACAGGCCTCACTGGGCTAAAACCAAGGTATCAGCCAGGCCTGGCCTCCTGGAGGCTCCAGCAGCGTCCCCTGTTCCACTCCTAGAGGCCCCCACGTTCAGCCAGTGTTCCTGGACCCTCCAGCGGCTGCCTTCCTAGTCACGTGGGCTCCCCCTGCCGTCAGATCCCTCTCGGGACATGTCATTGCCCCGGCCTCACTCAATACTGCAGGATGCTCTCCCCATCCCCAAGCCCTTAATTTATCCACATCTGCACAGATCCCAAGGATTCTGATGTGGACATCTCCAGGGCCATCAACCTCCTACCACAGCATTCCCTGGCCTCAAGGGCGGACCAGCTCAGCATTGGAAACGCCAGGGTCCGGGCCGGCCTCATGGCCTCCAGGCACCCTCTCCCATCCACTCTCCATCAGGCACCAGGCAAATCTCAATCCCCAAATCCCTCTGGCGCCATGGCCGTAAAGAGAAAACCCAGCCTGGGTGTGGCCCCCACCTCCGCGGCTGCAGCCCTGCCCTCCCCGAAGGCCGCTCCCCCTCCTGCTGCCGAGCCCAGGTCATGGCCTCAGCTCCAGCTTCTCACCGTTCCCAGGTTTTGCAAACTCTCTTGGGCCCTGTGTCTCACCTGCTTCTCCTAATTCTTACGTGGAGTCATGGAGGGTCCCCATATTGGGTTTTAGGGTTCAGAAGCAAACCCAACCCAGCAGGCTCCTCTCCTAGGAAGACCCCATCAGGGACCCCTCCCTTTCCACTGCTCTGTGAGCCTGCAGGGCCCAAGGTGGCCCTGATCTGACAGCATCTCTGTGTGGTAGGGAGGGAGCTGCGGGTGAGCAGCCAGTAGCACTCGTCTCACGCCCTCCCCAAGGCCATGTGTGTCTATGTCCACGTGTGTCTGTAGGTGTGAGCGTGTCTGCACATGTACATCTGGGTGTAGATATGTGTGTGTCCGTGTGTCTGTGTGTGTCTATGTCCCTGTGTGTCTGTCTGCATGTGTATATGCGTGTCTACATATGTGTCTCCATGTCAGTGTGTGTCTCTATGCATATGTACATGTGCTTCTGTGTGCATGTCCATGTGTTTCTATGTGTCTGTCTGCATGTGTCTAAGGCTCACAGGACAGAAGCCACAGCCCCACTTCTGTCAGGGCCATGGGGAGGTCAGTGTTCTGGAAAACACGTCCCCCAGGGGTCTCTGACTCACAGAACCACTTCCTCATGCCCTCTCTGCCCCCACAGTTGGGGAGCACAGGCGCCCACAGCTCAGACCCACAGCTGTGACTCACCCACCTGCTGGTCTCCAGCTGGGCCACTGCCCAGGAAGGGTAGCTGAGGACAGAGAAGGAGCCCACAAGCAGGCAGGGTCCCAGGCAGGGTCTCTCTGGGCCTGCACACAGCCTGCTGACTGGCCCTGGGCAGCCCTTTTCTCACAGGACAGGAGGCCTCCAAAACCCTTTGTGCCCAAGGCCCAAGAGCACTGGGAAAGGCCTGTGAGGCTGGGCGGCCACGCAGGCCTCTCACCCCCGGCCAGTGCTGGCCAACAAGTGAGCCAGATGGCATTTCACTGGGTCTTGATCTCCACATGTCCAAGTCTGCAAACACTGCTTCACATCTGCTTCTCCTGAGGGAGATGCCCCTTCATGTCTCGGGGTCTTTTTCTCATTCTTACTGATTTATAGAAATTCCTTACACATTCCTGAGGCCTACCCTTCGTTAGTTATGTCCCCGGTGAGTATCCTCTCATTTTTAGCTTCTCTTTCATTTTCTTTGAGGTTATTTTTGACCAATAGTTTTTTAAATGTACTCACATTTTATCAGACTCCTATTTTATAGCCAGGGCTTCTTACAATGTATTTAAGAAATCCTTCCCTACAGCCAAGGTCATAAATTGTCCACCTACATTTTCCAGACAAACTTTTAAAGGAAAACTCTTACATAAGTTCTTGCCCCATGTGGGGCTTTGTGTATGTTGGGAAACAGGGATCTTATTTCTTTTTCCATATGGAAAATCATTTTCCCACACCCAGTGATTGCTCTGTTCTTGCGGGAAGGGAAACTCCACAGGAGAACAGGGCAGCAGGGCCCCAAGGAAGGACGAGTGAGGCCCAGCCCAGCTGCCTGCCCCAGGAGTTGTGAAACTCCAGGATGAATTCAGCATGGAACAACTTTAATCCATTCTAATCTGAGGATAAAACTCAGAGAAGTCTTTGCTCCAGGTGAGGGTGCAGTTTGCACAATTAGCTAAATGCTGTCAGTACCAGGCTTTGGGATTTTCTGTTCTCCTTTCAGAGAAAAGGGCAGGGCAGGAAATGCGGGCACCAAACTGAAGTGGGTGTGCACGTGTGTGCTTCGCTATGGGTGTGACTGTATGTGTCTCCATATGTGTGTCTGTGTGGACATTCAAGCATGTGTATGTGTCTTTCTGTGTCTGCATGTGCACACGTGTGTCTACGTGTGTGTGCATGTGTGCCTGTGTATATCTGTATAGCTGTGTGTGCATGTGTGTCTCTGTATGTGTGCCTGTATGTCTATATGCATCTCTGTGTGCACATGCATCTCTATACATGTGTGCCCGTGTGCATGTGCACGTGTGTTCATATGTGTATGTGTGTGCACATGCATGTCTGTATGTGTGTGCG
The DNA here is from genome assembly GCF_000001405.40 of Homo sapiens. Taxonomy (NCBI): domain Eukaryota; kingdom Metazoa; phylum Chordata; class Mammalia; order Primates; family Hominidae; genus Homo; species Homo sapiens. Next base: position 90,910 of record NC_000007.14, read on the forward strand.
TGTGTTTCTGCATGTACATGTGCACATGCCTTCATATGCATATGTAGCTGTACCTGTGCATGTCCGTGTCTATATGTGCACATACATGCATGTATGTGTGCACGTGTGTCTCTGCATGTGTGTGTATGTGTCTGTGTATAAGTACGTGTCTACATGTCTGTATGTAGGTGCCTGTGTGTACATGAGTGTATGTGTCTCTGGGTGTGTGTGGTACATGAGCAGGTATAGGTTTGTGCATGTGTATGAGTGTCTGCATGTCTGTATGTGTGTGCCTGTGTGTGTGTGTGTATGTGTCTGTGTGTCTGTGGTTGTGTGATGGGCTGACTTGGTGCTGTGAGGATAAAGATGTGCTTCTCCAGGCCCTATGAGGCCCAACCCCCTGAGCATAGGGAGACCTGCCCTCACATTTTGTGTGGAGAACAGCAGGTGAGGGTGGGCACTGGAGTGCAGATGGCGGGAGGGCGGCCTCAGCCTGTGGAGTCTGCAGAGGGGATGGGGGTGTGTGCTCCCAGAGCTGTGCTCTTTTCCTTTTGGAGGCAGATTCCGTATCCTAAGCTGGAGTTCAGTTCTGAGGCTTTGGGTCCAAAACCTCAGTTGTAGGGTCAGGAGCAGGGGCACCAGGTCTGGGGACAGAACGTCGGCAGGTGGCTCCTGTCTCGTGCAGATGTGGTGCCTGCCTCACCCCATTCTCTGCCAGGACCCTGCAGGTTCGGATGCACATCAGGGACTGTGGCTCCCACCTTCCCTGCTCCTAACTCTTCTGTCCTCCCAGGCACGCCCCACCTCCAGCCCTGGGCTCACCCCAACCATCACTTCAGGCAGGAGAGTCCCCATTTGTGGCTACTAGTTCATTCATTCATTCAGAAGGGCCCTGGCCATCAGCCACCCTCAGAGCGGAGTGCAGCTCCACCACTTCGGCCAGGTGACCCTAGTCATGTTCATGAATCTCCCAGCCTCTGATCCCACCTCTCTCAGTGGGGCAACAGCACCCGGTGTGCAGGGTGGCGGCCCAGGGTGGCCGTGGAGTGAGTCACTGGGGAGGGTTCCTGGGTCCTGGGCATCTGAACTGGCTGCACTCGGAAACCCCAGTGCAAATGGGGCAGAGCAACAGTGCGTCTGTGGCAATGGTCCTGGGAGCAACGGTACGTCTGTGGCAACGGTCCTGGGCCCACAGCACGGTCCCAGGCATTCACTGAGTTCTCAATTAAATCAAAACCCCCTTCCACAGAAAGCCCCTCTCCACACTCAGAGGAGGCGGAGAGGCTGGAAGTGTCTCTTAATGAACTGTTTACTGCGAAATGCCTTTCACCTTCCAAGCTGCAGTCTTAGAATTAAACCTGGCATTTGAATGCAATCATGAAGAGAGGGGAGCTCCTCTGTCAGCCAGCAGGACACGATGAAAATCCAATTAAGTTGTGCATGTTAATTCCCCTGCCTGCCTGGGCTCATTGCTGGATGAGGGAGGGGGAGCACGCAGTTTTCTATAGTTTATCTGCACAGCCCAGAGGCAGGTGTTTTACCCGCTGACAATAAAACCCAACAGAGCTGTGACCAAGTGGGTGAAAATAGCAAGTCATTAAAAACGAGCATCTTGAATGCCCATCTTTCAATAACGTAGACGGAAAGTGCTGGAATGAAGAGATTAGGGAATTAATTGTATTGAGGATCCTCTCACTAGCAGACCCCAGGGCAGGAAAAGTGTCTGGCCACCTGCCAGGACCATACAATGGGATTATGTGGGCCCCAAGAGAAGGAACCTGGCTGGACACCCCTGTTGGTTCAGCAAGGAACCAGCCCAGATTTTTGGAACCTGAAAGCACTGAGGTCTTAAATCATGAAACTGGGCTTGAAAGAAAAGCACAAAAATAAGAAAATAAAAGAGAAAGAAAGAAAAGAGAAGGGAAGAAAGCCAGGGCCCTCGTAAGGTTCTTGGTCTTCCGGGGAGAACAGGAAAATCCACCTCGGTTCATTTCTTGGAACTCGATGAGAAAACAGAGGTACTGTCTTCACTTGAATTAATTTTTACATTTAAAATCTGATAGTAAGAAGGAAAGGGTACGTTAGAACTGCAAGAAAATATATGCAGTAACTACAGATTTTATCATCCAGTAACCTGGGACTCTGAGGGCAGGACATGCCTAGGACAGCAGGGTACGAGCACCCTGCAGAGCGGGCTGCCTCCTGAAGGGCCACCCACACCAGGCACGGCGGGGGTGGTCAGGATCCTGTGCCCTCACTCCTTCTCATTCCCTGGGAACTGGCAGGAACATCGCTGCTCTGGGCCAGTGCTGGCCTGGCTCCTCACGAACGCAACACTGCCAGCTCTGCGCCCCTCAGACTGCTGGAAGCATCCCGTAGATCAGAGGATTCTGATCCCTGCCTCCAGGGATGGGGTGTCCACGGCACGTCTCCAGGTATGAACACACACAATTTGGCATGAACACATGCCTTTGGCGTTCTCTGGGACTAGACTGGGCAGATTAACAAGGTACCTTTAAACAGGGGTGCCCAACCCCAAGTGTGGACAGGTACTGGTCCGTGGCCTGTCAGGAACTGGGCCGCACAGCCTCCCGTCGGATCGGCGGCGGCATTCGATCTCATAGGAGCATGAACCCTGTCGTGAGCTGTGCGTGTGAGAGGGATCCAGGTTGCGTGCTCCTTATGAGAATCTAACTAATGCCTGAGCATACGAGGTGGAACAGTTTCATCCCAAAACCATCCCCCCAACCCCACCCTCATCCCACAGTACGTGGGAAAATTGTCTCCCATGAAACTGGTACCAAAATGGTTGGGGACGGCTGCCTTAAAACACAAGGTTGATTTATAGTAAAGGAGCAACAGGCACCGAAATTCACACTCAGGAGAGGAGCCGTGCGAGCTAAAGGAACACAGTCCGTTCCCGTCCTGCAGGAAGCCATCAGCGCTTCTCAAACGTGACGCGGTTCTCACCTAGTCCAGCGGCTATTTCTCCTCCCACTTTCCTGGAGGAACACCGCTGCTAGGCCCTAGGTTTCTGACAGCTCAGCCACTTAAAAGTAGGAAATCCAGCTGCCTAGGACCCATCTTGGTCTGTCCTTCACTCAGTGTGACCTGGAGATTCCTTCGCCTTGTTATGTGAATGTTACGATCTCACACCCAGAATGCAGCAAACATGAAAACCTGTCATTATGAATGTGGATTCCTCCACAGAATAGACGCCTAAATCATGGTATACGGTCTAATTAAATGGAATATTAAAATGAATGAGCTAGAATTTATAAATCAACATAGATAATCTAAGAACAAATTAAATACAGGGACACCAGCAAGATGGAGAACTAGGAAGCCCCAGGGAGTCCTCGTTCCCCCACCGAGACACTGGTTAGCAATAATCTATGGACAGAACAGCCAGTGTGAGAACCCCAGAATCCGATTAGGAGGTTGCAGCACCCCCTGTGAGTGCAAAGCCCAGAAGGGCCACATCTGAGCAGATAAGAAAAAAAGTCACAGCATTTTGTGCCCTGGTGCCTACTGCTCCCTGGCATGATAGGAGCCCTCAATGCCCTCAATGCTTGGCTGCTCTCTAGAGAGGGAGAGTGAAGAGTGGAACATGCATCCAATGTTCTCGCTTTTCAGGGGGCTGCCCATGGGACTGGTATCTGCCTCACCTGACTCAGAGCACTGAGGGAAACTTGCAGAGCTTGAATGTCAGGTAAGGGGCTGCTGAGAGCAAAGACGAGCATCTTCGCTCAGCACAAAGGATCCTGCGGAGCCACAGACACCAGAGGACAGAGGCCTCCTGAAAAACATGGGCAAAACTCTAACTGGGAAACTACTTACACAAGCCCAAAGAAGATGCATCCCCAGAAAAGGCTGAGAAGTTCCAGAATCTCTACCTGGGCTGATTAGTGAAAGTACAAAGCAAGTTAACAAAGACTGCGGGAAGCACAATGTATTTGAAATGCCCAAATATCAATACAAGGTCACAAGGCATACAAAGAAACAGGAAACCAAGGCCCAGTCAAAGGAACAAAATATATCTCAGGAAATGACCGTAAAGACACAGAGATGAATTAACTGATCATTCAAGGTAACCTTCTTAAAGATGCCCAGTGAGCTAAACAAGAACAGAGACAACTGAACGAATTCAGAATACGACTTATGAACAAAATGAGATAACAACAGAGATAGAAATTATAAAAACTGAACAAAACAGAAATTCGGAAACTGAAGAATAACTGAATTTTAAGATCAATAGAGGAGTTCAACAGCAGACTTGATCATGGAGAAAGAACCATCAAATTTGAAGAAAAATTATCTGAAATTATTGAGTGAGAGGAGGGAAAAAAAGCATAAAGAAAGTAATGAGAGCCTGTGAGACTTACGGGAAAACATCAGGCAGAACAATGGAGGTTTTTTACCCCAGAGACGCTGTGGGTTTGATCCCAGGCCACTGCCATAATGTGAATACCACAGCAAGGTGAGTCACAAAATATTTTGGTTTCCCGGCGCATATAAAAGTAATGATTATACTATACTGTAGCCTGTTAATTGTGCAATAGCATTATGTATAAAAAAGTATATACCTTAATGAAAATACTTTCTTTGGCTAAAAATGCTAATGATCATCTAAGCCTTCAACAAGTCATAATTTTTTCATGATGGGGGCTCTTACCTCAGTGTTGATGTCTGCTAACTGATCAGCGTGGCAGTTGCTGAAGACTGGGGTAACCGTGACAATTTCTTAAGACAACAATGAATTTTGCTCTTCAATGGACTCTTTCCTTCACAAAAGACTTATCTGCGGTATGTAATGTCGTTTCACAGCATTTTACTCACAGTAGAACCTCTTTCAAATTTGGAGCCAGTCCTCTCAAACCCTGCTGCTGCTTTATGTAATATTCTGAATACCTTGTTGTCACTTCAAGAATGTTTGTCTCTACCAGGAGTAGATTCCATCTCAAAAAACAACTTTCTTTGCTCATTCGTAAGGAGAAACTCCTCATTCATTAAAGTTTTACCCTGAGATTGCAGCAATTCAGCCACATCGTCAGGCTCCTCTTCTCATTCCAGTTGTCTCACCGTTTCCACCATCTGCAGTTCCTGCCTCCATTAAAGTCTTGAACCACTCAGAGTCACCTGTGAGGGCTGGGATTAAATCCCTGCAGACTCCTGTTCATGTTGATATTTTGCCTCCTCCCATGAAACAGGAACGTTCTTAATGGCATGTAGAGTGGTGAACTACTTCCAGAAGGCATTCCATTCGCTTTGTTCGGATCCAGCAGAGCAATCACTATCTACGGCAGCTATAGCCTTAAGAAATGTATTTCTTTCTTTTTTTTTGAGACGGAGTCTTGCTCTGTCACCCAGGCTGGAGTGCAGTGGAGCAATCTCCACTCACTGCAAGCTCTGCCTCCTGGGTTCACGCCATTCTCCTGCCTCAGCCTCCCGAGTAGCTGGGACTACAGGCGCCCGCCATCACGCCCGGCTAATATTTTGTATTTTTAGTAGAGACGGGGTTTCACCGTGTGAGCCAGGATGGTCTCGATCTCCTGACCTCGTGATCCACCCGCCTCGGCCTCCCAAAGTGCTGGGATTACAGGCGTGAGCCACTGTGCCCAGCCAGAAATGTACTTCTTAAATAATAAGATGAAAGTCAAAATTACTCCTTGATCTATGGGCTGCAAATGGATATTGTGTTAGCAGGCATGAAAACAATATTAATTTAGTACATCTTCATCAGAGCTCTTGGGTGACCAGCTGCATTATAAATAACCAGTAATATTTTGAAAGACATTTTTTTCCTGTGCATAGTTCTCAACAGGGGGCTTAAAATATTCAGTAAACCGTGCTATAACAAATGTGCTGTCATCAAAGCTTTATGTGCCATTTATAGAGTGCAAACAGAGTAGATGCGGCATAATTCTTAAGGGCCTTAGAATGTTCAATATGGTAAATAAGCATTGGCTTCGACTTAAAATCACCAACTGCGTTAGTAATTAACAAGACAGTCAGTCTGTCCTTTGCAGAATTGATGCCAGGTATTAACGTCTCCTCTTCAGCTCTAAAAGTTCGAGATGGCATCTTATTTCAATAGAATGCTGTTTCATCTACATTGCAAATCTGTTGTTTAGTGTAGCCGCCTTCATCAAGCAGCTCAGCTAGATCTTCCGGAGAACTTGCTGAAGCCTCTACATTAGCATTTGCTGCTTCACCTTGTGCTTTTATGTTATGGAAATGGCTTCTTTTCTTAAGCATCATGAACAGCTAACTTCAAACTTTTCTCCTGTGGTTTCCTTACCTCTCTCAGCCTTCACAGAATTGAAGAGCGTTAAGACCTTGCTCTGGATTGGGCTTTGGCTTAATGGAATATTGTGGTTGATTAGATCTTCTACACAGACCACTACAACTATCTTCGTATCAGCAACAAGGCTGTTTTACTTTCTTATTTATGTGTCCACTAGAAGAGCACTTTTAATTTTCTTAAATAACTTTTCCTTTGCATTTATAACATGGCTAACTACTTGGAGCAAGAGGCCTAGCTTTCAGCCTATCTTGGTTATTGACACACCTTCCTCACTAAGCTCACTAACGTCACTTCCAGCTTTTGACCTAAAGTGAGAGATGTGTGACTCTTGCTTTCACTTGAACACTTAGGTCATTGTAGGGCTATTAACCTAATTTCAATATTATTGTGTCTCAGGTAATAGGGAGGCTCAAGGAGAGGGAGAAAGGTGAAGGAATGGCCAGCTGGTGGAGCAGTCAGAACATACATAACATTTATCGATTCAGTTCACCATCTGATATGGTATGGGCAAGGCGCATGGCACTCCAAAACAATTGTAATAGTAACATTAAAGATCACCAATCACAGGTCACTATAACATATATAACAATAAAGAAAATTAAAATTATTATTATAAATTGTACTAAAATGTGACACAGAGACAAGAAGTGAGCACATGCTGTTGGAAAAATGGCACTGGTGGACTTGCTGGATGCAGAGTTGCCGCAGACTTTCCATTTGCAAAACAAAAACACAATGTCAGTTGTGCACGGTGGCTCATGCCTGTAATCCCAGCACTTTGGGAGGCCGAGGCAGGCAGATTGTGTGAGTCCGGGAGTTTGAGACCGGCCTGGGCAACATGGCAAAACACTGTCTCTACAAAAAATAAAAAAAAATCAGCCAAGCGTGGTGGTGCACACCTGCAGTCCCAGCTACTTGGGAGGCTGAGGTGGGAGGATTTCCGGAGCCTGGTAGGTGGAGGTTACAGTGAGCCAAGATCATGCCACTGCACGCCAGCCTGGGAGACAGAGCAAGACCTCATCTCAAAAAAACAAACAAACAAAAAAACCCACAATGTCTGTGAAGTGCAATAAAGCAAAGCACAATAATAAAAGATATGCCTGTGCACACATTATGGGAGTTCCAGAATAGAGAGAGAAAGAGGTGAAGGCCTATTTGAAGAAATCATGGCTGAAAACTTCCCAAATTTGAGCAAAAGAATGGACATAAGAGTTCAAGAAATTCAACTAGAATAAATCCAAAGAGACCCATTATCATCAAACTGTCAGAAGTCAAAGACAAAATAAGAATCTTGAAAACAGCAAGAGAAAAGCAACTCATCAGTGCAAGGGAGCTCCCATAAGATTATAAGTGGGTTTCTGAGCAGAAACTTTGTAGGCCAGAAGGGAGTAGAATGATATATTCAAAGTGCTATCAGAGTAAAAACAGTCAGCCAAGAACACTATATCCAGCAAAATTATCCTTCAAAAATCATCCCAAATAAACAAAAGCTGAGAGAATTCAACACCACGAGATATTTCCTACAAGAAATGCTAAAAGGAGTTCTTCGAGTTGAAATAAAAGGACACTAGACAGCAATCCCAAACTACATGAAAATATGAAACTCTCTAGAAAAGGTAAATATATAGACAAATGTAGAATCCTGTACTATCATAATGTTAGTATATAAATCACTTTTAATTCTTGTATAGAATTTAAAAGATGAAAACATTTAAAAATAATCATAGAACTCTGTTAATGGTTACACAATATAAAAGAGATAATTTGCGACGTCAATAGCCAAGTGTAGGGGAGTGAAGGTGTAAAAGAGTACAGTTTTTGAGTGCAATTGAGGTTAAACTGCTATCAGTTTAAAATGGATCATTATAACTTTAAGATATTTTATGTAATCCCAAGGTGAATATAAAGAAAATATTTATAGAAGACATACAAAAGGAAATAAGAAATCAAAGCATGTCACTATAATTTTTTTTTTTTTTTGAGACAGAGTCTTGCTCTGTCACCCAGGCTGGAGCGCAGTGGTGCAATCTCGGCTCACTGCAACCTCTGCTTCCCAGGTTCAAGTGATTCTCCTGCCTCAGCCTCCTGAGTAGCTGGGATTACAGGTGTGCACCACCATGCCCGGCTAATTTTTGTATTTTTAGTAGAGATGGGTTTTCACCATGTTGGTCAGGCTGGTCTCAAACTCCTGACCTCGTGATCTGCCTGCCTCAGCCTCCCAAAGTGCTGGGATTACAGGTGTGAGCCACCACACCTGGCCTATAAAAAATTTTGAAAGTACAAAGGAAAGGAGTAAGGAGGAAAAATGGAGACAAAATAGCCATAAAACATACAGTAAACAATTAACAAATTGGCAGTAGTAAGTCTTCCTTACCAGTAATTTCTTCAAATGTAAATTAATTAAACTCCCTAATCAAAAGACAGATTGAGTTGATTAAAAATGAAAAGAAAAAAAAAAAGAAGATCCAACTATATGCTGTCTACAAGAAATAAACAGGAACACAACAATGGTAAGAGACCTCAATACTCGCCTTTCAACAATGGATAGAAGAAACAGATAGAAGACCAGTAAGGAAGCAAAGGACTTGAACAGCACTATAGACCAATTGGACCTAACGGACGTATATAGAACACTCTACACAACAACAGCAGAATATATAATACATTCTTCCCAAGGGCACGTGGAATATCTTCCAAGAGAGACCATATGATCGGCCACGAAACAAGTCTTAACAAATGTAAGAGTTTGAAATTATAGAAAATATATGTTCTGATCACAAAGGAATGAAACTAGAAATCAACAGCAGAAGGAAAACGGGAAACTTCACAATTAGTGAATATTTAAAAACAGACTCTTAAGAAACCAAAGGATCAAGGAAGATACCACAGGGAAAAATAGAGAATATCTCAAGACAAATGAAAACAAAAACGCAACATACCAAAACTTATAGGATGCAATGAGAGCAGTATTAAGAGGGAAATTCATAGAGGTGAAAACTTACATTTAAAAAGAAGATGGATCTCAAATAAACAACCTAACTTTACATCTCAAGGAACTAGAAAAAGAAGAACAAGTTAAACATGAATTAGCAGAAAGAAGGAAATGGTAATGATTAGAACAGAGATAAACACAATAATAGAAAACAATAGAAAAATCAACAAACTGAAGAGCTGGATTTTTGAAAAGATCAACAAAATTAACAGAAACTCTTAGCTAGATTAGCTAAGAAAAAAAGAGGGAAGACTCAATTAAATCAGAAATGAAAGAGGCCCCTTACAACTGATGCCACATAAATAAAAAATATTGTAAGAGAATGTCATGAACAATGGCTATATACCAACAAATTGGGTAATCTGGAAGAAATTGAAAAATTCCTAGAAATATACAACCTACCAAGATTGAATCATGAACAAATAATTATCTGAAAAGACCTATAACTAGTAAAAGATTGAATTAGTCATCAAAAATCTCCCAAAAAAGAAAAGCCCAGGACCAGATGGCTTTACCGGAGAATTCTACCAAGGATTTAAATAATTAACAGCAATCCTCCTCACATTCTTCTGAAAAGCTAAACAAGAGGAACACTTCCAACCTCAATGTATAAGGCCAGCATTATCCTGATACCAAGCCCAGACAAGAAAGCTACAGGAAAAGAAAACTACAGACCGATTTTCCCGATAACTGCTGATGCCAAATCCCCAACAAAATACTAGCAAACTGTATTCCGTAGCACATTAAAGGATTATACTCCCTGACCAAGTGGGATTTACTCCTGGAATGGAAGGATGGCTCAAAATATGAACATCAATCAAGATAATCTGCCACACTGTCATAATGAAGGACAAAAACTACACGACTGTCTCAATTGATAGAGAAAAAGGACTTGAGAAAATCCAACACCCTGTTATGAGAAAAACTGTAACTCTGCATGGTTGCGTCCTGTTTGCACCCTGAAGTTCTCCAGACCTACTTTCCCAAAGGACCCAACAGATTCAAGCCTCATCTGCAGGAGAATCGAGTCTCTTCCATCTCCGCGGGCCTGGGCAGGTCTGTTTCCTCTCTGGGTCTGCCATTCCCTTCTGACCAGGGATAGAGATCAGCCTGGAAAGCTGTAAGCTGCACCTGCCTGAGGAACCTAGGTGTGCCCTTTCCCTGTGACCCTTCCCTGAGGGTGTTCCAAAGGCACATGGCAAGGCTGCTTCACCCCAGTCATTCACGGGACCCTGGGCCCTAGGAAGCCAGCTCCAGGCCTCTCCCTAGCATCACTGATCCAACAGGCTTGAACACACACCCTCCTTAACTTCCCTCCTTTCTCTGCATTGGAAACTAGGGGAGAGTTATTTGCCTAATTATGCACGTTGTTTAGTGCCTTTGAGCATCAACATTTAGTGTTATGCTCCTGAGAGGCCAAGTGCTTTACAGCATTTTCTTCAGTATTATATTCCATGTTAATTGCAAGCAGGCCTATTAAAGGCAGGGCTGACTTCACAAACAGCCAGCAAAAGCACAGAGGGGCCGCACTTGCAGGCAGCAGGCCTCAGGCTCATTAAGGAGACCCAGAAAGCTGAGGACTCCTTGCCCTTGAAAGGCCCTGTGTACAGCCAGCATGCCGGAAAGAGCCTCGGAGCTCCGTGGATTTCAAGGCAAAAGGGAGCCAAACATGCACGGATGCCTCTTTCCTGTGCCTGGGGGTTTGTTTCTTCAGGAAATTCCAAATGGGTCTCATTCCCTGGAATTTCAATTGCACCATTGCTTAGTCACTCAACAGTCATCTGTCACTCACCAAAGCCACAGAGTGGGGCCTGAGGGTCACTGGTGTCATGGATACACTTGCTGATTTGTGACCCAAGTCAGGTCTGGATTACAAAGGGCTTTGAATGAATGACTGAGGTTTTGAGGCCAGATGATAGAGAAAGGCAGCCATGGGGGATTTTGGAGAGAGGCCAGGGTGAGCGGTGGGAAGACCAGGCAGGAGAGTCCAAGGGCATCCGTGGAAGCGCACCTGGGGTGGAGAGGACTCGTGGTCCAGATGAGGCACCACTGAGCCGCGTTGGGAGAAGCCTGCAGATGGGAGGTCACTTGGCTGTGAGCAGATCCACGCCTGGGAGGTGGCAGAAGCCAGATGGGATACCATAAAAATCCACATTTAATTTTTCCACTGGTGTGTGCGCTTCTGGAACTCCCCACACAGCAGCCCACACAGCAGCTTAGGAGTGGGTCCATATTCCGACTACTTCATCTCTGGTGTAATCATGACACTCTCTGGCTACCCCAGGAGGGCATGCACCAACATGGCGCTGGGCATAAATTTGAGACTGAGCTGCCTTAGGTTCGAGTCCAGCTCTGAGCCAGCCAGCTGTCCTCAGCAGTGCTCTGGACCCCTCTGCCCTTCAGTTCCTCATTTATAAGGTGGGAGTAATGGAAGCATATCTGAAGCGTGAAGCCGGGGCCTTGTCTGCTCTGAGCTCCCTCAGGATGTTCCAGGCATGTAATGGGGAGAGCAGAGGCTGAGACCTGAGAGCCAATCACATGTTTCCCATCAAGAAGTTTCGACACAGATTCTAAGTCTGAGGAAAAAGGCAAGACTACGGTTCAGCAACAAACTGGGGACTTCAATAACACACTTTCGTTATGAGTAGAACAAGTAGGCAAAAGATCAACAAAGAAATGTCAGATTGGATCAGTTGGCCGGCATCTGCAGAGCATGAGAGCACGCCACCAGCAACCACAGAGCACGCCACCCCGCAACCGCAGAGCACTCCACCCAGCAACCGCATCCGCAGAGCACTCCACCCAGCAACCGCAGAGCACTCCACCCAGCAACTGCATCCGCAGAGCACTCCACCCAGCAACCACAGAGCAGTCCACCCAGCAACCGCATCTGCAGAGCACTCCACCCAGCAACCGCAGAGCACTCCACCCAGCAACCGCATCTGCAGAGCACTCCACCCAGCAACCGCAGAGCACTCCACCCAGCAACCACAGAGCAGTCCATCCAGCAACCGCATCTGCAGAGCACTCCACCCAGCAACCGCAGAGCACTCCACCCAGCAACCGCAGAGCACTCCACCCAGCAACCGCATCCGCAGAGCACTCCACCCAGCAACCGCATCCGCAGAGCACTCCACCCAGCAACCGCATCCGCAGAGCACTCCACCCAGCAACCGCATCCGCAGAGCACTCCACCCAGCAACCGCAGAGCACTCCACCCAGCAACCGCAGAGCACTCCACCCAGCAACCGCATCCGCAGAGCACTCCACCCAGCAACCGCATCCGCAGAGCACTCCACCCAGCAACCGCATCCGCAGAGCACTCCACCCAGCAACCGCATCCGCAGAGCACTCCACCCAGCAACCGCATCCGCAGAGCACTCCACCCAGCAACCGCATCCGCAGAGCACTCCACCCAGCAACCGCATCCGCAGAGCACTCCACCCAGCAACCGCATCCGCAGAGCACTCCACCCAGCAACCGCATCCGCAGAGCACTCCACCCAGCAACCGCATCCGCAGAGCACTCCACCCAGCAACCGCATCCGCAGAGCACTCCACCCAGCAACCGCATCCGCAGAGCACTCCACCCAGCAACCGCATCCGCAGAGCACTCCACCCAGCAACCGCATCCGCAGAGCACTCCACCCAGCAACCGCATCCGCAGAGCACTCCACCCAGCAACCGCATCCGCAGAGCACTCCACCCAGCAACCGCATCCGCAGAGCACTCCACCCAGCAACCGCATCCGCAGAGCACTCCACCCAGCAACCGCATCCGCAGAGCACTCCACCCAGCAACCGCATCCGCAGAGCACTCCACCCAGCAACCGCATCCGCAGAGCACTCCACCCAGCAACCGCATCCGCAGAGCACTCCACCCAGCAACCGCAGAGCACTCCACCCAGCAACCGCATCTGCAGAACACTCCACCCAGCAACCACATCCGCAGAGCACTCCACCCAGCAACCGCAGAGCACACACACTTCTCAAGTGTGCTGGAGCTTGCTCCAGGAAGAACCACATGTTGGGCCACAGAGAAAGTCTCAATAAATTTCAAAGGACTGAAATCATACAAAGTGGGCTCCATAACCACAATGGAATTAAGTTAGAAATCAATAACAGAAGGAAATTTGAGAAATTCACCAAAATGTGTAAAATAAACAACACACTGTTATATAACCAACAGATCAAAGAAGAAATCACAACGGAAATTAGAAAATACTTTGAGATGAAAGGCATTACAAGAAAACCACAGACCAATATCCTTAAGAATATAAATGCAAAAATCCTCCACAAAATACTAGCAAATCAAATCCAGCAACATATAAAAAGAATTATGTGCAAAACCAGATGAGATTTATCCCAGGAACACAAGGTTGATTTGATATCCAAAAGCCAATCAATGTAATACAGCATATTAATGGATTCATACAAAACCACTCTTAGAAGAAAACATAGGAGGAAATCCTTATGGCCTGAGTTTGGCAATGATTTCTTCAATATGGCACCAAAAGCACAAGTGATAAAAGAAAAGAGAGATAAATGACACTTCACTAAAATTAAAAACTTCTGTGCTACAACCAATGCCATTAAGAAAGTGCAAAGATAACCCACATAAAAGGAGAAAATATTAGGAAATCTTCTAGAGTAATCCCCTCTTATCTGCAGGCAATACATCTCAAGGCCCCCAGTAGATGGCTGAGACCACAGAGATTACCAAACACTGTATATACTGTTTTTTCCCATATATGTATACCTGTGATAAAGTTTAATTTATAAATTAGGCACAGGAAGAGATTATCAAGGATAACTATAATAAAATTGAACAATGATAAAAATATGCCGTAATAAGACTTATGTGAATGTGACCTCTCTATCGCTCTCTCTCTCAATACCTTAATGTACTGTACTCACCCCTCTAAATACCTTATTGTACTGTTCTCACCCCTCTTTGTTGTCATCATGTGAGATGACGGAATTGCCTCCGGGAGGAGGTGAGGTGAGGTGAGGTGAATCACGCAGGCATTGTGACATTGTCTTAGGATGCTGTTGACCTTCCGATGAATGATCGGAAGGAGGATCACCAAGCCATGATGAGCAATGGCTGGATGTCAGGAGCAGACAGTGTAACGACTAAGGAAGGAGCAGTCTATACAGTGTGGATACAGTGGACAAAGGGATGGTTCACAGCTGGGAGGGATAGCTTGGGCTGGAGCAAGGTCTCACTGTGCTACTCAGAACAATGCACAGTTCCATGTCGTATTTTCAAGCCATGGCTGACCACAGGTAACTGAAACTGTGGAAACCAGGACACCAGGTAAATGGGACCTGCTGTATCTGATAAGGGACTCATATCCAGAATATGTAAGGAACACTTAAAACTCAAATAAAATAAGGGTTATTAACCCCATTTTAAAATGGGCAAAGGATTTGAATAGGCACTTCTCAAAAGAAGATGTACGAATGGCCAGTAAGTGCAAGAAAAGATGCTCAACATCATTAGTTATTAGGAAGAAGCAAATCAAGACCACAGGGCGATGCTACCTCATACACTAGGAGGGTGATCCTCAAAAAGACAGAAAATAGTCTTGACAAGGACTTAAGAAACAGGAACCTTCTTTGGGAAAGAAAATAGTGCAGACAAAAACAATGAAAAGGCGCTGAAAATGAGTTCAACATAGAGTGACCACATGGCCCAGCAATCCCCCCCTAGGTGTGCGTCCCAGATAATTAAAACCATACATCCAGCCAGGCTAAGGGGCTCATGCCTGTAATCCCAGCACTTTTGGAGGCCGAGGCAGGCAGATCACGAGGTCAGGAGTTCGAGACCAGCCTGACCAACATGAAGAAACCCCATCTCTACTAAAAATACTAAATTATCTGGGCGTGATGGCACATGCCTGCAGTCCCAGCTACTCGGGAGGCTGAGGCAGAAGAATCGCTTGAACCCAGGAGGCAGGGGTTGCAGTGAGCCGAAATCGCACCACTGCATTCCAGCCTGGGCGACAGAGCGAGACTGTCTCAAAACAAACAAACAAACAACAAAAAAGTACATCCAAATAAAAACTTGAACACAAACGTTTGTAGCAGCACCACTCATAAAGCCAAACAATGGAAACAGCCCCGATACACGTGACTGGCGAATGGCTACAGAAGATGTGGTGTATCCGTACAACAGGATGTTATTTGGCCATGAAAAAGAATGAAGTACTTATAAAAAAAAAGAAAAAGAAAAAAGAAATGAAGTGCTGACACAGGCTACAAGGTGGATGAGCCTGAAAACATTATGCGAAGTGAAAGAAGCCAGTCGCAAAAGACCACGCACTATATGTTTACATTTTGAGAAACGTGCAGAACCCATAGATACAGAAAGAGGATTTGTGGTTCTTTAGGGCTGGGGGTGGGGGCAGGGCTGGTGGCTGAGAGTAGCTAAAGGGTGTGGAGTTTCTTTTTGAGGTGGTGAAAATTTTCTAAAATTGACTGTAGTAATGGCTGTAGAACTCTGTGAATATACTGAAAACCATTGTACACTTTAAATGGGTGAATTGCATGGTATGTGAATTATAACCCAGTAAAGCTGTTTAAAAAATAGTGGGGGGCGGGTGGAGGGAATGAAGAGAAGGTGGTTAATGGGTACGAATAAACGGTTTGGTAGGAGGGGTGAGTTCTAGTGTTGATAACACAGTGAGGGGATTATAGTTAACAACAACATACTGTATATTTTGAAATAGCGAGAAGAAAAGATTTGAAATGTTCCCAACATGAAGAAAGGATAGACGTTCGAGGTGATGAACGTCCTAAATACCCCAATTCCATCATTACACATGGCATGCGCGTATCCAAATATCTCATGCACCCCATAAATATGTAAAATGTTATGCATCAATAAACAATTAAAGGTATAAGCGTTGCAGAGTGTCTTCCTTCCAAATAATACAGTATGAAAAGGGAAAAAGAGCAACTTTACAGTGGAGAAAACTGGAAACCTCTGCCTCAGCCACATCGCCGAGGTTGACATCACCGGTGACAAGTCACGCAGACAGCAAGGACGTTGGTGTGATGCTGTGGGAAGGTCACTTTCCATCCTCCCCACAACCCGTGACCCCAAACTAATCACAGGAAAAAGATCAGACAAGTCCCAAATGAGGGACATTCCACAAAATACCCAACCAGTCCTCCTCAAAACTGTCAGGATCACTAAAAATAAGGAAAGTCTGAGAATCTGTCACAGCTGCGAGGGCCCTAAGGAGACATGAGGGCCAACTGTAACATCATACTTTGGATTCTGAGGTAGAAAATGGATATTAAGGGAAAACTGAGGGAATGTGAATAAAGTATGGACTTTAGTTCCTACTACTGTATCGACATGGGCTAATTCACTGTGACAAAGGTACAGTATAATGTGACAGGGTAAGAGTAGGGGAACCTGGGTGTGGAGTATACAGGAACTCTGTGCTATCATCACAATTTTTCTTTATATCTAACAATGTTCTAAAATGAAGTTTATTTTAAAAATAAAAAATAAAGACAGGGGTCCTTGATATCAATAAACCCCATGAAAATACATTCATTAATAATCAGGGAAGCACCTCCCCCAGCACATGTGCATATGACACCCATGCACACACTCAAGCACACGTGCACATGACACCCAGGCACACACTCAACCCAAGCACATGTGCACATGCACACCTGTGCACACACACTCAACCCAAGCATGCATGCATGTGTGCATCTGTGCCCACAGTCAACCCAAACACGTGTGCACCTTACACCCATGACACACCCAACCTGAGCACATGCACACATGCTCAACACAAGCACGTGCACACATGCATACCCATGCACACACAATGCAAGCACATGCACTTCTGTGCACACACATGATGCAAACACATATGCATTGCATGCCCATGCCCATGCAGTCAACCCAAACACGTGTGCACATGCACATACTCAACCTGAGCACATGCACCCATGTACACATGTGCACACACACTCAACCCAAGCACACATGCACATGATACCCATGCACACACACTATGCAAGCACTTCTGCACATATGTGCATGTACACATGCACTCCATCCAAGCACATGTGCACATAGACACCCATGCATGCTCAACTAGAGCACATAAGCAGATACATACATGTGCACACACACACAACCCAGGTATGCATGCACATGCACGTCCATCTGCACACTCAACCCAAGCATGTGCACACACACACACTTGTACACACACACTCAACCCAAGCACATGTGCAGTTGCACGAATGTGCATACACAACCCAAGCACACACTCAACCCAAGCACAGCTCACCAGGGACAGAGGCCCAGGAACAGACTCTGACAAAACAATGAAGAGAATCCAAAAAGCAATTACACTGCCAAGTATTACGCAAACACAATTATTGGAATTGCTAGTCAAAAACGGTTAATAGAATAATTAAGATAGATTGACCTAAAAGCTGATTTTAAATTAACCTGACATGTGCATATACTATCTAAATAATACTCTTTCCTCTGATTTAGTCTCTCATTAAAATCAGATTTCATTGGGAGAAATTATACATTTGCACCATCATTGGGAAGAAGAAGCCATGTTCACTCACCCACTGATGAAAATAGGAGATTATTAGAGGAAGTAAAAT
This sequence comes from Homo sapiens, assembly GCF_000001405.40. Lineage (NCBI taxonomy): Eukaryota > Metazoa > Chordata > Mammalia > Primates > Hominidae > Homo > Homo sapiens. Next base: position 108,844 of record NC_000007.14, read on the forward strand.
GGGAATATATTTTCCTGGCCTTCCCTGGCACAGTGTGATCTGTCCCTGTAATAAACCACCGCTTCCTCCTAGCCTGCCACTCGGGAGGTGAGGGAAGCCAGTTAAGATGGCCTCAACTAAGGACCCCAAACCACTAGTGTCTGTGTGTGTCTGTGAAGCTCGCTCACGGGGGAAGGGCCCGTGGGGTGGGCAAGAGCAAGGAAGAGAAATGAGCACTTGGAGACGCCAGGCAACCAGGAAGACCCAGAGGAAACTCGGTACGTCTGCATTGAACACGTCTTCATGGGTGAGAAAACTGCAGCCAAGGAAGGAGAGGGATTGTTTCCAGGCAAACAGCAAGCGCTGGCAGAGAGGCAGGGACAGAGGCTGTTTTCGGCATCCAGCATCTCTGTTCAGCTCATGATTCCCTGCCACACCCCAGATAAAATGAACCCCTGTGGGGGTTTGTCTGTGCACGCGTCCAGGGCCTATCCTGGTCTGTGTGAACAGACTGGCCCTGCATCCCAGCACAGAAGCCTGGGCTGAGCACCAAAGGCCCCCAACTGCGGGAGGCAGGTCCTGGTCACTGCTCCCTCCACGGCCATGGCTCCAGTGTGCAGATCTCAGCTAGTGTCTAAAACACGAAGGCACTGGGTCACTACAGCTATGGGCCTCCTTGTTCATTGAAACCCTTGGAGTTACCTCGTTAACACTTTTTAAATGGATAGCCACTTCACATTTTTTAAGATAAAGAATTTCCCCATTAAAATTATTGAGATTCAGTAATAACACATTATTAGGATAAGCAGGACATGTAAGATGCTACAAAATGATCTATTACTTGGAGGATTTTAAAACCCTAATGAGAAAAACGCTCACTACCATTTATTCGTTCTCTTAGCCTTCAGCACCATTAGTCTGAGGAGCAGCATAGGGCTGGGGCTGGCTGCATCCACACTCACCCCTCTGATTGCTCCAGAACCTTTTCTTCAAAGAGAAATCTCTGCACTCTGCAGGGACGGTAAGTGGCGACCCTTAGGTAGCTGAAAGCACGGGGAAAAGAGCAGGAAGAGGTGGGAACATGGAGATGGAGAACACAGGGAGCGGCACGCTCAACGCAGGTGGAGTCTGTGTCCCCTCCAGCGATAGCCAGAACCAGGACCACCAGGGATCCGACATCACTGGCCCCATCCCGTAGGGTGGGCTGTGGGCAGGGAACAGCTGAATCGCCAGGCCACTCTCAGACCCTTGGCAGACACAAGGAATAACAGCTGTGGCCGCCGCTGTGGCCGCAGTCCCAAAGTTTGGAGAGAAATAGCAGCAAGTAGCAGCACCACTGTCCGTCAGCTTGAGTGCTTCTCGGACAAAGGAAGACAGTTCTCCTGTTTCCCAAAGACTTGCAAAGGCTGTGTGTTCCTCAGGCAGCTACTGCGCCATCGGCCTCTGAGTGATAAGGAAAGGAACCAGGGCTCAAACCTACTCCTGAGTGAGTCAAAGCAACTCCGCACTCCCTGCCAGCACTGAGGGTGACCCCCGAGCCCTGCTCAGGAGCTGTGGGGCCCGAGATCTCCCCTCCGCCCCGTGGGCAGGGGAAGGGCAGCAAAGGCTCTCTGCCACGCCTGTGTTCGGGCTCCAGAACTCTTGGCCTGGTGTCTGGAAGATGGGATTGCTGCCTTGGACAAGCCTCTCCTCCTTGCTTTTCCCTTTTTCTCACAGTGGGGTTTAAGCTAAGGTCCTATTCCTAGATCACTAATAATGATAGCAGGTGCCATTTATGAACACCTACTGTATCCCAGTGCTGCTCTCAGTGCTGTACCTGTATTCTCTCATCTCATTCTCTCAAGGGCCCAGTAAGGTAGCCACTTCATTAGCCATCTTTTACTAAAGAGCAGACTAGGCACAGAGACGGTAGGTCACTTTCTGAAGGTCACACAGCGAATGCAGGTGAGAACCAGGCTGTCCACGAAGGAAGTCTGACCCCTGATTGGGCTGTAATCACTGTGCTGTGCAGACACCCTCTCCATCAAGACCCTTCTGTGTTGCACCCCCCACCCCCACCCCCTTCTCTGCTTGGAAATGAAGTAGCTTTCAGGGGACTCTTATGAGGCTCCCGCCTCCCCAGGCTGGCCCCACACAGCCCCAAGACAGGAGCCCCCAGTGGCGCCTTGGTGGGCTTCTTGAGGGTTGCCTTAATCTTCCCCAGCCACCCACGGGAGACACCTGAGGTTTGTGGCTTGTGCCACGCGGCTCCAGGGCCTCCAGCACCCACCTGCAGACACGGCTTCAGCCGGCCCATGCTCCTTCTGTTTCTTTCGCTAGCTTGTTTAGGTTTCATTCACAAACAGTAAAGCCCATTCATGTGACAGTTGTATACAGTCATGTAACATCTACCACAGTCAAGATGTGGAACATTTCATTCTCCTAAAAAGTGTTCTCCTGCCCCTTTAGATTCCCTCCTCCAGCTCCCAGCCCCAGGCAGACAGTGATCTGATTCCTGTCCCTGTAACTTTGCCTTTCCTGGAAGCTCATAGACATGGAACAGTACTCTATCTCTTCCACTTAACTTGATGATTTCAAGACTTATCCATGTCGTGTAGGCTTAATATTTTGTTCATTTTTTATTAATGGGTAGTATCTCATAATATGCATGCACCGTAGGTTACCAACTTGCCTGTTGATGGGCATTTGGGCTGTTTGCAGTTTGGATGTATTACAAATAACATTGGTGTGAGCACTTGTGTCCACGTCTTTGTGTGGACATATGTTTTCATTTTCCTGGGGTAAATATTTAGGATTGGAATTGCTGGGTCATGTGGTAAGTGAATGTTTTACCTCTTAGATAGTGTCAGTCCATTTTCCAAAGTATTTCCATTTAAAATTCCAACCAAATTTCATGCATTCCAATTTAAATTGTATGTAAATTCCCATTGTTCTATATCCTTGTCAACACTTAGTATTGTCAATCTTTTTAACTTTAGACTGCTTTTAATGTGTACTCCTCTGATGGCAAGTGACGTTGATCATTTTTTCATGTGCCTATGGGTCATATATCTTTTTTGTCATGTATTTGTCCAAGTCCTTTTCAATTTTTAACTGCAGTTTTCAAATTATTGATTTATAAGATATCTTCATATATTCTGAGTACAAGCCCATTGTCAGATGTGGATTTTGTAAAATTATTCTGCCAGTTTGTAGTCTGCTTTTGCATTCCCTTAACTCTGTTTAATTTTGAGCAACCTTTTCAATTTTGCTGAATTTGTTTTATCATTTTTTATCATCTGTGCTTTCACATCTTGTTTCTAAAAAATGTTTATTCTAGCCCAAGTCATAAAAATTCTTCTGTATGTTTTCTTCTAGAACTTTAAAAGTTCTAATAATTTTCAGTCCATGATCCATCTCAAGATAATTTTGCATGTGGTGGGAGGTAAGGCTTGAAGGTTATTTTGTTTTTCCATGTAGATATCAACTTATCCTGGCACCATTTATTGAAACAGCTAGTTCTGAAAGAATTAAATTTTTACCTTTACCAGCAATCAAGGGACTATATAAATGTGGGTCTTTCTGACTTCCCCTTCGGCTCAGTTGGCCTCTGTGTCTTTCCTGATGCCAAAACCACACTGTCGTGATTACCATACCTGTATAGTAATTTTTGAAATCAAGTAGCGTGGGCCCCACAACCTTGTTCTTATTTTTCAAAGTTGTTTCTGGATATTTTAACCCTTTTGTCTTTCCATGTAAATCTTAGCATCAGCTGTCTCATTTCTTCAAAAGGACCATAAGTGGCACGGTAGTATATTGATGAGCAAAGACATACAATCGATTTTTCTATGAAAGTTAAATGCTGCAACTTGGCTAAACTAATTTTATTTGTACTAATAGTTTGGTTTTTATGGTGGTAAAATTCACATATTATAAAATTCACTATTTTCACAATTTTGAAGTGCACAATTCAGTGGCATCCAGTGCGTTCACCACGTTGTCGGCCCCAGGACATTCGCATCACCAAGAAAGGAGACACCACATCAATCGAGGTGTCACTCTCTGTTCCTCCCTTCCCCCAGCTCCTGTCACCACTAACCTGCGTTCTGCCTCTTTAGATCTGCCCATTTCGTATAACTGGAATCATATAACATGCGGCCCTTTGTGTCCGTCTTCTTTCACTCATCATGTTTTCAGTTTCAAGGTTCATCCATATTGTGGCATGTTAGGGCTTCATTCCTGTTTGTGGTTGATGAGTAGACCACGCTTTCTCAGTGCCTATGCTAGTTGTTTGTAAGTTTCTTAAGATACTTCCTCATACATGATTCATGATATCTGCATAAAGAGGCAGTTCTTCTTCTCCCTTTCCAGTGTTTATGCTTTAACTTTAATGTCATTTAAAGCTACCTGTGTCTCTGTTCTTCAAGTGCAATTTTGGAAGACAGCATGTGTGTGGGTCTTGTTTTCATATCTATTCTGACAACCTCTGCGTTTTACCTGAAATCTTTGGTCCACTCATATTTAAATAAGTATTGACATGGTTATGTCTGGGTCTGTAATTTTATGCCTCGCTCTCTATACATACCCTCCAGTTCCCCCCTTTGTTTCTCATTTCTTAACTTTTTTTAGGGTTACGTGAATATTTACTGATTGATTTTTCTCCTCATTATATTTTGTGAATATACGTGAATATTTATTGATTGATCTTTCTCCTTATTAAGCTTTTTCAGCATGGTATCACCTCAGTAGTAGAGCATAATCAGTCCTAGACTAATTTAGGCCCCACCCAAAAAAGCTTAAAATCAAGCCTCAAATATATCAAATTGTTTCCAAGTAAAGTAACTTCATCCCTGAAAAGTTTTAAAATAATTTTAGGAGTGCAAAACTATCCAGGATCTAACAAGGAAAAGTACATGATGTCTAGCATACAGTAAAAAATCACCAAGTATGCAAAGAGGCAGGAAAACACATCATGTAATGAGGAATATCAACAAATTGAAACTAATTCACAAATGGCACAGATGAGGGCATTCCTAGACACAGATGAACTGTAGTTATTATCACTCTATTCCACATGATAACGTTAAGCAGAGATATGAAAAACATTAAAAAGTCCCAATTCTAACTTTTAGAGATGAAACCATTTCTGAGATAAAGAAAATTCACTGGATGAGATGATGAGATTAGACAGACACTACAAAAGGAAAGATTAATGAACTTAAAGGTATATAATAGAAACCATCCAAAGTGAAACACAGACAGAAAATAGACCCCTTCAAAAGGAGCAGAAAGCTAATTGGGGGGCAACTTCAATTGGCCTAAAATTCATACATTTAGAGTCCCAGAAAGAAAACAAAGAAAAAAAAACAGAAAAAAAAGGAGGACATAATGACTGAAATCTTTTGAAATTTGCTTTTTAAAAGCTACATATCCCAGTCCAAAAAGTATGAAGTACGAAGAAGGCACATCTTAACCAAACTGCTTAAACTGGGTAAGAACGAGACAATCTTAACAGCAGGCAGAAGAAAAGAGACGTGCTGGGTACAGAGGAACAAAGACAAGGATGACGACAGGTTTCTCCTTGAAAATGAGGCGAGCTAGAGGACAGTGGAACAAGCTCTGCAAAGTACTGCCGGGAAAAGCCTGTTGATTTGTGATTCTGTACCTGGCAACAAAGGTAGAAACAGGGTGAGATATCAAGTTTTTCAGACATATAAAAGCTAAAATATTAATCATACCAGCAGATAAGCACTAAGAGATATTAAAGAAAGTCCTTTGGACAAGAGGAAAATGACATTATAGGAGACCCGATAGAAGCACAGGAAGGAAAAGCATGTTTTGCTGGGTATAGAACATGTAGAGAAATAAAATATGTGCCCACAAGGACATGAAGGAGGGCAGGGAATGGAAGTGTGCTGCTGTAAGGTTATTAAACCATCATGATGTAGTGTAATATTATTTGAAGATAGATTATGATAAGTTGAAGGTGCACACTATAAACCCTAAAATGTATACACACACACGCACACATACATATGTACAGACAGAGTTATGGGGAATAAGCCAACAGAAGTGATTAAATGGGATGATTAAAAAATACCCAGTCCAGAAGAAGGCTGGCTAAGAGGAACAGGAAACAAAAAGTAGACAGGATAAATAAAATGCAAATAGCAAGATGGTGGTTTAAGTCCAACCATTATCAACAGTGATGGTAGATGAAAATGATCTATAACCATTGGTCTAATTCAGTGGCAGTTTGTCAGACTTAATAACAAAGCAAGACCCAACTAATTGCTGCCTACCCAAAACCCACTTTAAATATAAATTCACAAATACATGAAAACTAATGGGATTTTAAAAGATACACTGTACTAACACTAGTCAAAAAAAAAAAAAGCGGGAACAGCTATATTAATATTGAACAATGAACACAACCAGCATTATAAAGAAGGTCATTTTGTACCAGCCTTTAGCTGGGCTTCTTTTATCTGCTTTGAGTGTGTGCAGTTCAGGGCCAGTCGGAAACATGAGTAGAGTCCGCCAAGTTTCCCCTTCTGGACGCTCCCCCCCTCCACTGGCCACAGCTTCCCCAATTTCGTCCTGCTCCTGTTCCAGGCCATGAAGACTGTGGTCTTCCCTGAGGACCCCCAGCTCCTCATGCCCTAACTACATAGTGCTCAGGCTAACAGCCACGGTCAAAGAGAACGTGCTTCCTGCAACTCCTTTATCCCCCGTGTACACCCCAGGTCCGTCTTGCTGTTCACTCTCCAACGCCCACAAGCAGCCTGTTTGCATTGTGTACAGATTTTGAAGCTGTTTTCTGTAAGGGAGTGGGTTTGGTGTGATCTTACAAAATCCTTACAGGAAGCAGAACCAGCAATTACCCATCCACTTTTAGAACTGCCTTGTGCATGAACCTTTTGTCCTTTGAGTCACACTTGGAAAAAGTGTAGGCTTCGTCTGTTGCAAAGGTCATGGTGGCTTCACTCCAAGAAACTTGAGAAACAGTTATTGTTTTAAACAGGGCACAACTGCAGTGTCCTGAGGAGCCCTGCATGGCCATGGAGTTTGCTGGATGAGGGATATGGACGGGCTCCTGCAGCGAGAACAGAGACAGAGAGGGAGAGGGAGAGACAAAGAGGAGACAGAGAGGGAGAGGGAGAGACAAAGAGGAGACAGAGAGGGAGAGGGAGAGACAAAGAGGAGACAGAGATACAGGCAGAGAGAAGTGGGAGAGACAGAGGAGAGAGAATATCTGGCAAACACATTCCACTTTCGGATTCCTGCTCTGGACATGGAGGCCTGCTCTTCTCCATAAGCCCTCTCCCTTCCTTCAACGTCCTCGGGAAAAAGCGAAGCAGACCCTTTTCCCTCCCTCGCCCTCCTTGCCCTCCACAGGGGCTCTTTCCCATAACCTGCTGGCTGGTCTCTGTGGCTGAGTTCTGCCCATCCAGGAATGGACTCACCAGTGTCCCGGTCCAGCCCCATCTCCCCTCCACACTCAGGAGCTCCTCGGGTGAACTCGGTGCTAGCCAGGCACTCAGCACCAGGCTCGCAGGCTTCTTCCCAACACCTCCAGCCTGTGCCCCACCTGCACCCACACCCATCATTCTGCTCCGGGCTCTGCCCCGAGGCCCCCAGTTCCCTGAGCTCGCCCATTCTCTGGCCTTCACCCACACTATGGCCTCTGCCTGGCCTCCCTCAGCCGTGTGGACGCCTCCTCTCAGCATCTAGGATCTAGGCCCATCTCCACGCCGTCTCAAAGACGCTGGGCTGCTGCCCACTGTGAGACAGGAGCCCCCTCTCTGTTCCACACCACCCTTGACAGGCACTTACCAGGCCCGTCCACCTCATCTGGTGGGTCGTGTCCGTCCTTTCATCAGATAGCAAGTCCCTCAAGGCCCAACTCCCTGAGCCCCCATCCCCCTCTTTGTCTCTCCTCCAGGGATTAGTGTCACCCCTGATCCCACTCCGGCTTGGCCTCACCCACAACAGCTGGCACCCACCTTGGCCCTCCTGGCTGTGGCCTTGACCCCTGGTGTTCATCCTGGCTCAACCCCTGGCCCTGGTTCTCTTGGTGCCACCTAAACAGTCTACACTGTCTTGTGTTCACCTTTTCTTTAATTATTTGTTTAGCAGAGCAGAGCTGATTTTACAAATATAAATCCGCCGGGCGTGCTGGCTCACCCCTGTAATCCCAGCACTTCCGGAGGCCGAGATGGGTGGATCATGAGGTCAGGAGTTCGAGACCAGCCTGACCAACATGGTGAAACACTGTCTCTACTAAAATTACAAAAATTAGCCAGGCGTGGTGGCGCGCGCCTATAATCCCAGCTACTCAGGAGGCTGAGGCAGGAGAATCACTTGAATCCAGGAGGCGGAGGTTGCAGTGAGCTGAGATCACGCCATTGTACTCCAGCCTGGGCCACAGAGCAAGACTCTGTGTTAAAAAAAAAAAAATATATATATATATATATATATAATTGTTTGACCAAATGCAGTGATTTCTCCCAGTTTGAGAAATAACTCTTCTTTATAAAGTCATGTTTTGGTGAAGCAGGGCTGGGTAAACCTGCGCCACAATGGGTGGGAGCCCGCAGGAGACAGGCCCTCGTCCAGCAGTGTCCAGACAGCTGCATGGAGCAGAACACGCAGCCCTCACCCTAGAGCCCCGACTTGGGTCATGGGGGCTTAGAAAGAAAGAAAGGAAGAGACAAGACTGGATAAGAACCGGGTTTGGTCAAGGAAAGGAGGGGTGGACGTGCAAAGCCCTCCCGTGCGGGAGCCCTGGGACGGGGGCACCATCCCACAGCCCCCCGGCAGCCGCCGATCCCCCCGACACAGCCCCCCGGGAGCCGCCGATCCCCCCGACACAGCCCCCCGGGAGCCGCCGATCCCCCCGACACAGCCCCCCGGGAGCCGCCGATCCCCCCGACACAGCCCCCCGGGAGCCGCCGATCCCCCCGACACAGCCCCCCGGGAGCCGCCGATCCCCCCGAGACTGGCCTGCACCTGCACATCTGGGGGGCGGGGCCCCGAATTGTCCTGCCACAGTGGCCCCGCCGGCAGGGAGATCAGAGGAAGAAATAAAACCCTCAGGCCTCACCTGGGATCCAGATTCGAGGCCGGAAGAGCAGACTTTGCCGGGGGCACTCACGCAGATCCCCACGTCTCAGGGCACCGCAGTCCTATTACCATAAGCGATCATGCAAAGGTGTGGTAAAAGCCATCTGTCATTCATAAAATGTGATGATGCCTTTCTGCAAAGACATAAGCCATCCCAGGGCTCAGCCAAGAAATGGCCATAAAATCTGGCATAATGACCTCAAAGCACACTTTCCAATATAAAGGTTATTCTAGGCAGCTGTTTCCTGATTATTTACGTGCAATAATTTTACACCCCCCAGACTCTGACACGCTCACAGCCTGACGCCCTCTCTCATCAGCAGCACTGAAGCGTCTGTGCGGAATTCTTACGATGTCGTGTTCCCTCAGCACCCATTTGGGGCTTTGTCCTCCCAGAATCGGGGCTCAGTCACCCTTGACACAGTTTCCAGTTCTCTGCCTTCCCCCAGTATCTCAGGGTGGTCCCTCCAGACACCTGCCTTACTCAGACGTCTCCTGGTGACCACCCCGCTATGGGACAGCCCACAGGACTCGCCCAGACCCCACACCCTGCAAGGACTGTGTAGCTGTCCCACAGCAGACCCCTCCCAGTTCCAGTGTGACCTCGTGGGGCTGTGGCCCACTGGCTGAGTGCACCCACCAGAGCTTCCTGTGGGAACCTGCTTGGGCAATACCCTGGACCCCAGTGAAGGCTTTGACCACAGCCCCTGTCCCTCTGGCTGTGTGCGTCCAAGACAGCGCCCCGTTCCCACCACCAGCCCTGCGAGGGGGCTGCCCTCTTCTCTCTGGATCTGTGAGTCACGCTGTTAACTCCAGCATTTTGTGGAGTTGCCACCTGAGTCTCACCTGACTGGCACACCTCAACCCACCTCTCCTCCCGTCGGCGTGGTCCTTTGGCGTGGCTGTCTTGGCTGGAATAAACTGCATGCAGGTGTCAGCCAGTCTCCTGTGACAGGGACACTCGGTCCCGGGTCGGACACCTCGGCCTTAGGCCGTCCACCAGGACAAAGAAGGGCCGACCTCTGGAACCCCAGGTTAGTCGCCTGGAAAAGGGAGGAACGGTCACCACGACACTGCCCCTGCCCGCAGCTTAGGGACGTTTCTGAGGTAAACGAGATAATGGTTGGAGTGTTGAGCACAGTCTGGCCACAGAGAACGTGAGAAGCCATTGCCAGTGTCATCATGTGGTAATTGGGAAGTTTCCGTGAACCGCTGCAGCAGGGAGTTTAAAGAAGATCAGCAGAGGCCAAAGACTCCTTAGCGGCAGGGAGGGGAGGGCAGAGAAGAAATCAGGTGGGGGAGGTCGAAGGGAAGTGGGAACGGCGGGCACAGACGTCCCTGAGCCCGGATCCTGGTGCCCTCACCCTAAGCCAGCAGCCCACGACCACCCAGAGGCCAGGAGGCCCCCAGAGCCCCCAGCACCCACGGCTCCCTCCAGTGGGAAGAGTAGGATCAGCCCAGAGCCCCTGCTGAGCCTGGACAAGGGGAAGGAAGGGGAAGCTCAGCGTGGTCACCCGGCAGTTTCTCCACTCTGAACCGCGTGCTGGGGGTCACGGGGCTCCCGCTGCTGACGAGGAAGCAGGGCCCACCCTGTCCAGCCTCGGCCTCTGCAGACCTGAGCGCAGCCCCACGTATCCCCACGATGGTTGCCGTCCCTGCGTGGGTTTTATTTTCTCCACTCAGCGTCCTGTGACCACAGAGATGGCGTGAGGTAGGAAGCTGTACAGCCCCAGCACGGGGCCCACGAGAGGAAGTCTCCAGCAGCAGCTAATCCTGGGCGGAGATGACAGCCCGGAGCCTTGGGCTGTTTAAACTCCAGCTGCACGGAAAGCCTCCAGCTGAGAGAGTTTCCCAGAGTCTGTCCCCGGGGTCGAGCCTTCGGGGGCCAGGCCATGGGAGCTGGGTCTTCCTGTGCCTGGAGCCTTGTCCCCTGCGGACCTGCAGTGTGGCCAGATGATGAGTCTTGCACTGAGCAGAACTCCTTGGGCCTTAGGGGGTTCTGCCACCACCCAGCCATCATTGGCAGGGCAGGGAAGGCCGGCCCACACCCAGGTCTCGCTGCCTGGACCCTCTGGGGGAGCAAGCTTTGAGCAGGAGAGGGGCCAGGAGCCCCTGAGGAGCAGGAGCGAGGGCTCAGAGCCACAGAGAATTCCTCAGCCAGGCCTGTGACAAACACAGCTGCCACTCCTCTTCCAGCCCCACTGCCCCAGCCACATCACATTGGTCCTGGTCACTCGCAGGGAAGGGCACTCACTGTCCAGGGAGAAAACCCATTCCTTTCCTCTGGTTCTCTTCCCCAAAGACATGCAAATACTTTTTCCAGGAATTTTCTAACAGCAATGATGCACGGACCCTTAACTTTAAACTGACCTAGAGGCCCAGGAGAGCCCAATTATTTCTGGCACAGGCACCTGGGCACAGGGTCTGGCCTGGTTCACTCTGGAGTGCCTGAGTCATGGTGGAAATTCAATATTTGTTAAGGAAATTGGCAAAAGGATGAATGAAGAAAGAGAACATTGCACGGTGTGTTCAAAATGTCCGCAGCTATATTCCGCTGTGAATTCAGGAGCTTGTTCCACAGTGTGTTCAAAACGTCCGCAGCGACATTCCGCTGTGAATCCATGAGCTTGTTCCCCGGTGTGTTCAAAACGTCCGCAGCTACATTCTGCTGCAAGTTCAGGAGCTTGTTCCTAGGTGACTCCGGCACATAGGCTGGAAACACTACACTCACCGGGGGCTCAGCCCCGCACACCTGTGTGGGGAGGGAGCGGGGAGCGTCGGGGAAGAAGGAGGGGCCCGCCCCGTGAGACTGCGGCCAGGTCCTGCCCACGTGCCTGCTCTGCTGGGCTTGCAGCCAGGCCACCTCCCTGGCCCGGACCCCTCAGGGCCTCTGGACAGGGGCTGCAGGCTGCCTCTGGACTCTGCTCCTGGACTGGCCTCTGCTGGACGGCGGCGCCCTGCACCTCAACAGCCAGCCACACCAGGCATGGCCGTCACCTACAGGTGAAGCTACAAATTTAACCTCATATAAGGGAATATAACCATGGCCAAGGAGCGAGGCAAGGCTTTTTAAACAACATGTCAACAGCACAAATCAGAGGCAAGTGAGAACCAAGTTTTAAAAAGATGAATGTGGTATAATCAGCATTAAAGTTTCCTGTTCGGTCTGGGACTCCTTGGACCAAGCATTACTGGGAGGCAACCTGAATGCCCTCGGTGTGAGCGTGGAAAGATGGCAGCTTCAAGGCTGGGCTCCGCAGTGGGGCAGGCCCCGCCCTGGACGAGCACGCGGCCACACAGAGGGTCCTCTTGAGCACGGTGACTCCCGTACCCGTAACAGTCAGGCCGATTCTTCAAGAAAACATACAAACTAAAAGATGTCAAACACAGCAAATTGGCTGCCCATGGAGAAGGGTGGGAACCAAGAGAGGCACTGGCAGGAAAGGGGACCAGTCGGTGAGTGGAGAGAACCTGAGGGTCTGTGGGGCCAGCTTTCCCAGGTGCTAAGGAACAGGACCTCAGATCTCTGAAGCTAAGGGCTGGGGGAGCAGAGGAGGGAAGATGGGAAAGAGGGAGGGAGGAGTAGGGAGGGAGTGGGAGGTGGAGAGGAAGGGAGGAGGGAGGAGGGAAGGAGAGAAACGGAGGGAGGGAAGAGGGCGGAAAAGACAGGGAGGAGGGAAGGAGAGGCAGGAGGGAAGGAGGGGGGAGGAAATGCAGGAAGGAAGGAGAAGGAGCAGGGAAGGAGAGAGGACGGAGTAAAAGGGAGGAGAAAAGGAGAAGGAGGGAGGGAAAGGGGTGGAGAGGGGCAGGGGAAGGGCAGGGAAAGGCGGTGATAAGAAAGGGCATGCGAACCTGATAAAGCCAGACCAGGGTGTCCGATGTGCATCCATTTCCTCTGATAATAGGCTCCTCCCCAATAGCACAAACAATAAAGAGGAAAAACACGATACTATTTTAGGAATGGAGGTAAGTACGTGAGTGGAGATTCCAGCATCATTTGAAGATGACCAGGCAGCCCGCAGCAGTGGGGACCTCAGCGGCCCTCTGTGAACCCAGGGTCCCAAACACGCATCGGGAGACCCAGCAGTGGATCCTGACAGGTACATCACACCTGGAGTGGGAAATGCCTCTCTCTTCAAGAAGCCGTGAAACCTCTTCTTTAACTTGAACTTATGTCAAATCCCAAGAACACTTAGACCATATTCTCCAGCCAAAATCCACAAAAGGAAGAAAATAATAGCAATTGTAGAAGCAGAAACCCTAACATCCTGAATAACAAGTAAGCAAACAAAATGCCTCTTGAACAATTCTTGGGTCAAGTGGGACAACAGAGTCCAAATTTCAGAACCACCACAAATAACAATTATGGAATATGATCTATCAGAACCCGAACAATGTGACTAAAACTGTCTCAGAGAAAAATTCACAGCGATAACAATTACGTTAGCAACAACCAAATACAAACAAGTAAATTATTCATTCAACTGACAAAATTAGACTCAAGAAAATAAAAAGAACAGGATAAATGTAAGAACCAAGAAGAAGAAAATAAGATGGTAAAAGTGTGTGATTTGAAGCAGGAGACTCAAAAGCGTGCTCGTGTGGTGGGCCTTTGAAATTCACCAGTGAATAAGCCTGTGTCTACCCTAATTCAGGAACTGTGAGGACGGCATGGACACACACGTGCACACGAGTCTAACGACATGGGAAACAGTTACGACAGAAGCACACACAAGTGCATAATTTACAGATTCCATGCAAATACTTTAAATTCTAAATAATATGGGTGATTATCCCAGGCAAATATGAATTGCCCCAACTAACCAAAAGGAAACAGAAAAGTAAGCAGACTATTATTAACCGCAGAAGAAATTGAGAAATCTATTAAAACCCAGCCCACTCACCTCCGAAATTCTACGCCCAGATAAATCACAAATTCACTAATTCAAAATGCTGGTGCACCAATCTTTACAATATGATTAAAATTTCCTATTCATGAGCATAAAGAAAGAAAACCCTGTGTTCTTCTTAGGATTCCAGCATAATATTTGCACCAAAACATTGAAAAGTTGCACATACACATGAAATGAAACATACCAGCTATGGTAATAACGTCCTCACACATTACTTCATGTGGCAGATTAAAGACTCACACGTGTAACGACCACCTCTCGGCTTCAGTTGAGGTTTCCAAGCACTTTAAAACAAGTTCAGTATTAGGAAATCTACCAATATAATTCAATGAAATAATACATCACAAAACAACCACTTCACCAGGGCAGGAAAGGCAGACAGCGTGAGCCACAGAGCAGCCAGCCATGACGGAACCATGTGCCATCACACTTCTGCCCCTGGGGGACCCCGGAACCCCAGAAATCAACCCTAAACCAGGCCCACCCATCCCAGCAGCACCCAGGGAGGCCTGGACGGTCACCACACACCCACAGCCACCATGGCAGCAGCCAGCATTCCCCTGCTGGGGGCAGGCAGTATCCGCTCCTTGGAGGGTGAGATGCCTCAGACCTGGGTGGGCCTCATCCATACACTTCCCAGCAACCGTGCATCTCGGCTGGCAGCCTTCACTCCCGGAGGGGTGGGTACCGGGGTGGAGGGACGGCATAGGGTGATCCGCAGCTGCCCTGAGGGTGCCCCAGCCTGGCTGTTTACCTGAGCCTGTTCCTTTCCCCAGAAGACCAAAAAATCATGAAATAAGAGCTACAAAGATGGGAAAGAGGCAAAATTCCCATATTTTGCAGATGGTTTGAGATTGATCTGGAAAACACAGAGGATCAACTGCAAGGCTGTAAGAAACAGGAGCACTTAGCATAACAAAATGAACACTAGTCAATAGTCACCGATATCCACTTAGAAAACAGGAAAATAAAGGGGGAAAATCTCATTCACAATAGCAGAAAGACACATAAAATCCTGATGGTGGGGAATTCAGTGAGAAAGGTAGAGTTGTTGAAGGAAACGGCAAAACTCTCCTGAGGAGCATTTTAGAAGCAATAAATGGAGACTTAGATTTTAGACTAGAAAACGCACATTGCAGAGTTGGGAAGACTGGATTTTTTTTTTTTCATTGAGCATCTGTATTTCTATACATGGAAAAGGACCATAAAGTTATTTTCAATGAGTTACTATTATTATCATTATTACTGTCATGAGAGGCGAAATCTTACAGCTGATGATTTCAGGCAGACTCTAGTGCCGGGCCTCAAGTCACAGGATCCTTCTCCCCCACCTCCTGGCCTGATCCTTTTCCCATCTCTGAGCCTCAGTCTCCTCCTCTGTGAAATGGACACAGTGACGGTAACTCCTTGGTGGCCTGAGGACAGGTGCACACGCAGGAAGAGCCCCACCTGGCGGGCGCCAGGAAACCGCAGCTCAGCTCCCACTGTCAGGTGTGTCCTCCGGTGGGAAGGGGCAGGCGCAGGCGGGAACAGCCCCTGCTAGCTGGGGTTCAGCAGGGCCATGCTGTGCAGGGATGGGGACTCCTGGCTCAGGGACCTGCTTCCCGGGTCCTACACGGGCTTTATGCTAGTTTATAATATGACTTGGGGCAGCCGCCCCCCCGAGGCTGGGAGGAGGCCTCAGGAGATGGGGATCACTGGTGATGCCCGGAGGAGGCAGCTTGCAAGAGAGTGGGCTCAGCAGCGTGGGAAAAGAGGGGCCAGGGTGTCCTTCAGCTAAATGAGCTGCTTTTTCCCAGGGCAGCAATGGTGCAGCCTTTGGCACCCAGCTTCTCACTGTTGGCACCAAGAGAGCCTCTGGGCAGTGCGGGCTGGTCCAGTAAAGACAGGGGCCTCAGCTCTGGGGCTCAGCAGGCCTCTGCTCTTAGCCCCACGCCTGGAATATGAGCTTCCCATGCCTGCCCCTTGAGGTCCAAGGTCAAAGTCAAGGTCAGCCTGCAGACGGTTGGGCTCGGGCTTGCTGGTGATCCTTTCTCACTGGCCACAGGGGAAATAAACGCTGAGGATAGGGCTGCTGTTCCCACTCACACACCGGGGCCATCAGGCCTCCCAGGGGAGACACTGGCAAGAGCGGATGTGATTCTGGGAGAAATCCCTCTGATATCCAGTTCTCGCCTTGCACAAAATAAGGGAAATTAAAGGTTTCAATAGTACTGATTAGACGAGAGTTCTGCACGGCTGACTGTGGTGAGAACATTCCCATGTAAGCTGGCTGCTCTGTTTTCCAGGCCTGATGCGATCATTTGTGCAGAACCGCCTTTAATATTAATGCTGGCGGTGGGCCCCGTGGCCTCTCTGACTCTGCCTCCCTGGCCCCTCCACCCTGTGCTGGCATCCACCGAGGTCTGCATCCTGCATGTGTGGGCCACTGTCCCAGGGGTGGGCTTCGAAGAGACCCTGCTCCCCTCCAGGCTCCTGGCAGAGTGCATTGGTAACCCCTCTTAAAGAGACACGGTGGAAAGAGGGCCTCCACCCTCCTGGACATCAGGACGAGACGTAAAGTCTCCGTGCTCCTTCAGCTGCACGCAGATCGTCACTTTGCAGATGTGAAAACTGAGGCCCAGAGGGAGAAGGGGGCTGTCAAAGATCACATGAGGAGCCTCACGCAGGGCCAGGACTGCAACCCTTTTCTCTAAACATACTTTTAAATTAAAGTGTGTGGCATACCCAGGGATTATAAAACACAGATATTATAAATGTAGAGCTTCATAAACTGAAAACACTGGTGTAAGCCATACTCAGATCAAGAAATAAAAAGCTACAGGCCCCTGGAAGTCCCTCAAGTGCCTCTTCTCATCAACATTCCCCAAAGAATAACCACTGTCCCCACTTCTGAGAACATGACATCATGAATTCTGACATCAGGGCTCTGGCATCATGGCTCTTGACCTCATGACATCGTAACTTCCTACATCACGACATCATAACTTCCTACATAACGACATTGTAACTTCCTACATCATAACTTCTGACATCACGACATCGTAACTTCTGACATCATGACTTCTGACATCAGGTCTTGAGGCATCATGGCTTCTGGCACCATAACCTCTGAGATCAGAGCTTTGGCATTATGACATTATAACATCTTTTTTTTTTTTTTTTTTTTTTTTGAGACAGAATCTGGCTCTGTCGCCCAGGCTGGAGTGCAGTGGCGCGATCTCGGCTCACTGCAAGCTCCGCCTCCCAGATTCACGCCATTCTCCTGCCTCAGCCTCCCGAGTAGCTGGGACTACAGGCGCCCGCCACTGTGCCCGGCTGATTTTTTTGTATTTTTAGTAGAGATGGGGTTTCACTGTGTTAGCCAGGATGGTCTTGATCTCCTGACCTCGTGATCCGCCCGTCTCGGCCTCCCAAAGTGCTGGGATTACAGGCGTGAGCCGCCACGCCCGGCCTCCATGATCTGTTTTTAATGGAATCACTTGGTGTGCATTCTTTGGCGTCTGATTTCTTTCACTCAACATTGTGTTTGTGAGATTCATTCATTCTTCTCATTTACTCCCATTGTTGTATTTGATGGTGTGACCAGACCACGGTTTATCCATTGGTGGACATGTGGGTTGTTTCCAGTTTGGAGACTGTCATGAATAGTGTCACTCTGCGTATTGCACATGCCTTTTGGTGAACTTGTTTGTGGATTTTTCTTGGGTATATACCTAGGAGCAGAATTGTTGAGTCATAGGCTAGGCGTACATTTAGCTTTAACAGATATGAAGAGACAATTTTCCCAAATCATTCTACAGCCTCACAGTTCACATCCACTCTGACCAACAGAAGCAGTTTTGGTTGATCCACATCTCTGCCACCACCTGCTATTCTCAATCTTCTACCTGTAGTCATTCCATTCATTGTGCATTATATTAATTTTCCTAGTTATTATCTGATTCACAGCAAATGCTTAGCTTACTAATTATTAGGTTTTCTGACATTCTAATTTTTGCATTGAAGTCACAAATTTCCATCCAGTTACGTCCTTACCTGTATCCCTTCTGTACCCCTGAGTGCAAGCTCTGGGCCGGGCTCTGCCTGGGAGAGCTTCCCTGGGTGCCTGGAGACCCTTGTCCCCCCAGAAACTGGGTCTTAGATCTGACAAGGAAGTGTGTCCCTCCCTGGGCCCAGCTCCCACTATAAAAGACGCAGGTGCCCATTCTGCCAGGGGCAGAGGGTTCCTCCCCGAGCCTGGGCTCCTGTGGGAGCCTGGGGACCCCTCTAACCTGCCACCATCCAGGGACACATCCCAACTCCACTGCCTGGCTCATGTGTCTGAGGAAGGGAAACACTCTCGTTTCGAGGATCGCAGGGTCCACCCTGTTCTTGCTCTAGACTGGGAGTGGGTGAACTGCCGAGACACCGGCCCCAGCTCTGCTCCTCAGCTAATCCACCCTCCCTGGACGTGTCCACCCTCTGCTGCCAAAACGCACAATAGCAGCACAGCCTCTCTGTGGCACAGGGCTGACAAGATCCAGTGATGGGGACTCCCCCCAAGAGGAGTGGGCACCTGGGTGTGTGCCGCTGCAGGTCGTCCGTCTGGGTGGGCGACTGGGTCTCCTCACCCAGCCCTGCTGAATCTGTGGATGTTGATCCTTTAGAAAGTGGCCGGTCCAAAGGGTAGTTGGTGACACAGCTCCAGACCCAGAGTCCCTCACACGACCCACACAGAGTGGCCCTGGGCAGAGAGCTCTTCCCTGGGGCCACCCAAGGGCACTGCCTTCATCTGGGGCTGGGGGAGACCATTCATTGGAGTTGTTTTCTGGGCACCTCCGGAGTTTGTCATATTTTAAGATGATATGAGAAGATCTAATTTATTGTACATATTTTATTTTTATCACAGATCACTGGTTGAACACATCTTTCTCTAGAGATATGTGATACCATTAACCCCTGCTGCAAACACATACAATTATTTCATAAATTCCAATTCTTTCAAGAGTAATTTATGTTTTCCCTGATATAATTGATGATTGCAGTTGTGCCACATGTTTTCAGTGATCATAGCTTCACACTGTGGTTTAATTTCTGACAGGGAATGCCCCTCCTAATATTCTTCTCTTAAAATGGCTCGTGCTTCTTCAAGCTCAGTTGCTTTCCAGATAAGCTTTTGAATCCCATTAGCATGTTTTAAGAGGGCCAAATATAATTTTGTTTCGACTTTATAAGTTCTTAAGTCAGGGGAGGATTAGTCTATTTGCTCATCAGCCTTTGTCTCCAGGGTGATGACATGTCTCTACACAGGTAAATTGTCTTAACCTCAGCAAGCCTGGGACCTTTCCCCACATGAAGCCTCTGCTTTAATACTGTTCTTAATACAGTTCCCGGCTAAGTTCATGTGTGGGTTGTTAGTATTGAGAACAGAACTAAGTTTGTCCGTATTACATTTTCTAATTTGTTACTGACTTTGTAGAGGAAATGTGTTCACTTTATGCATTTATGTTGTCATTGTTTTTACCGTGTATTTCCTCTTCCTGTCGTATTGCAGTGCGACCCGCTGGGTGCATCACTGAAGGAGATGAGACCAGCCTAGTCCTAGTGACTGCACAAGGCAAGAGGCTCCCCTCGATGTAACAGCAGGTGTTGGGAGGGTCTCCTCTCAGTCCCATTTGGGAGGACTAGGGCTGACCAACTGTGTACGTTTGTGCAGTCCAAGCTGTATTTCCAGCACTGCGCAGATTCACTGGGGTCGAAGGGCACGTCCCACCTCTCTGCCTAACCTCCTGGCTGTGTGGCCTTGTGGGAGGCAGGCATGGGTCTTTTCCAGCCACAGACACCACTCCCACTGCCCTTCTAGCCTGGCCCTGAATCCTAGGAATTTCACTCACAGCCAAGCATCTGGGATCCTTGGTCCAGGGTGAGTGCAGCAAGATGGGAAAGGGCACAGCCTGGCAGCCTCGGGAGAGAGCTGACCCGGAAAACCTGCCGGTGGCCTCGGAGGAGGGTGTTCCTCGGAGGGCAGGGTCGTCCTCTGATGCCGTGCTCAGCCCTGACCCTCCCATGACCCACCTGCTCTGTGCTCACTGGAAATTCCCCAAAATGCATCTCCGTGGGGCTCAACTCAGTTAAAAGGGAGCAAGTGAGCATCATGCAGATGGAAGCCTGACACAAACACCTCCCTCCGTTGGCCGTGCTTGGCCGGGGTGAGGACAGTGCTGAAAGCTCAGGGAAGGCAGAGCCCTGGACGACCACCCTTGCTCCTGTCTCAGGACACAGAGCCCTGGACGACCACCCTTGCTCCTGTCTCAGGACACAGAGCCCTGGACGACCACCCTTGCTCCTGTCTCAGGACACAGAGCCATGGACGACCACCCTTGCTCCTGTCTCAGGACACAGAGCCATGGACGACCACCCTTGCTCCTGTCTCAGGACACAGAGCCCTGGACGACCACCCTTGCTCCTGTCTCAGGACACAGAGCCCTGGACGACCACCCTTGCTCCTGTCTCAGGACACAGAGCCCTGGACGACCACCCTTGCTCCTGTCTCAGGACACAGAGCCCTGGATTGTCTTAGCCAGTGGTCTTTCCTTGCACAGGAAACAGGCCATGCAGAGACCCTGGCAGGCCACTGCTCCTCCCTGGCCTGGGTTGCAAGGGACAGGGGCCCTTGAGGATGGCATTCCTCCTATGGCCCTCGGCCTCGGACCCCCAGGGAGCTGTCTCCTGGCACTTCTTGGCAAGTCCACCCCATGGCCATCTGTGTTGGCTCAAGGCTTTCTTTCCCGTCGTTCTTCACATCTGGTGGCCAGGAGTTCTTCCCTGAAGATCTGGACCTGCCCATAGACCTGGGCTGGATTACAAAAAAAGAGGAAGCTGGCAAAATCCGCAGTGTGTCTTTTCCTCCAAGGACATTTAAAAAATACATGTGGGAAAAATCAGAGTTTCAAAAATGGCAAGTGTTATGAAATAAAGTGCACACGTCCTCTTTTCTGCACGAAACAGAAAGCACGCGGTTATTTTCAGCTCCCGGAGCTCCACTGGGAATAGGGTGGTAGAGTTGCCAATGTGTACACAGAAGGGTTCTTTTTTTATCAGCTGCTGAAGGCTCCAAGGATGGAGTGCGATTCTAAAGGGTGCATTAAGGCAAACATTGAGCTAACAGAGCGAAGGCTGCCAGCCAGCGGCGGAGATGGGCGTCCCTGGAACGCCTCCGCTTCCCCGGCTGCCCCGCCGCACTCCCAGGCTCCGCTGCCTCATGCACAAGGTCAGGATGCTGATGGGAAGACCCTGGGTTCCTAAGGAGGATTTGATGAGAAAACGCACAGGAGGTGCCAGCACACTGCCTGCCACACTCAACAAAGGCCATTGTTATTATTGTTGCTGCTATCATTAGTGTTCGTCTGCAGATTCCAGGGTGACATCACTTGACTCATTTTTTAACTGTGTATTTTGAGATAATTTTAGGCTTACAGAAAAGTTACAAAAGTTGCAAAAGTTACTTCTCCAGGGACCAACAGCCTGGAGGAGACCCTGTTCCTTGTGGAAACTGGCCGCACACCTCCTGCCTTGCACAAGATGTCAGGGAAGGGCGGTGGCTTTGGAGGCTTCAGGGAGTGAATGTCGACGGGGTCTGCAAGAGCTCCCAATGCCCAAGCTGGAGAAATTCTAGGAACAAAATAAATAATCGTAGCCCAGATGCTCCTGGACTGGTGGGGCCACATCCTGACAACCCATCGTAAGTTTAATATACCCCAGGGACATGGATGAAGCTGGAAACCATCATTCTGAGCAAACTATCGCAAGGACAGAAAACCAAACACCGCATGTTCTCACTCATAGGTGGGAACTGAACAATGAGAACACTTGGACACAGGAAGGGGAACATCATACACCAGGGCCTGTTGTGGGGTGGGGAGAGGGGAGGGATAGCATTAGGAGATATACCTAATGTAAATGATGAGTTAACGGGTGCAGCACACCAACATGGCACATGTATACATATGTAACAAACCTGCACGTTGTGCACATGTACCCTAGAACTTAAAAGTATAATAATAGAAAAAAAATACCCCAGGTCAAAATGCATTTAATGCACCTCATCTTCCGGGCATCATAGCTGAGCCCTCTCACCTCAGACATGCTCAGAGCGTGGATATGAGGCTGGCATTGGTAAAATCATCTCACACAGCTCACAGCTGCCTGAAGATGCTCACTCACCAGCTGCCAGCATTTCTGGGGCGGTCCTGAGAGGGTCTGCAGCTGGCGCACGAGGTGAACACAATGCTAAGGACAAAATTACACAAGGAATGTGCAAGAGTTCCACTGTTCACAGTGGGAATCACCTAATTCACACACAACCAGCTTCACAAAATGAGCTCCAGGCGGCCGGCTGGAGGGACGCGGAGGCCAGCAGGTGGAAGCCAGTGTTTAAAGCCACAGGTAGACGCGGCCTCAGCACCTTCCCGTTTGTGCCGGCCCAGAGGCACTGCCTGAGCACACCACCTGGGGAGGCTGCAGGTCTAAGCAGCCTGAAAGTGACCCTCACCAGGCCCTGAAGCCACCACTGGGTCGGGGGCCCAGCCTTCCTTCCAGTGCAGGGGCCCCACCCCAGCCGACTGCAGACTCAGGGTGCAAGCTTCCTCTGCTTGGGTACTCCTCGAGGTCCTCCTGGGCGTCCTGAGCTCCTCTGTGTGCATTTCCTATGCTGTTCACAGTCCTACTGCATGGCCCAGGAGGGAAAGGGAGGGGAGGGGAGGAGGAGAAGGGACTCTCCTTGCTCCCAAACTGCTGAACACTCAGCATCTGCCTCCTTTCTCAGCCAAAGGAAGGCCCTCGCCAAACACTCCTGACTATTGCAGTTGCTGGTCACCTACTCCTGTCCCACTCAATGGCTGCCCCCCGTCAGCCACCTGTGGCCCAGTGATCAGCTCACCTCCTGCACACACCATGTGGGCAGCTCACCAAGCCACCCTCCCCACCATTTCCAGGAAGGGCCAGGACTCACAGAAAACAGGCTTGTTTGTGAGCCACGCGGTCACTTACACTTTGCAAAGCGGCGTGGGCGCTTCTATTCTGAAGCATCCGCCGAGGCTTGGAACACACCCAGCCGGCAGCTGTCTGCTCCACTCGCTCCTCTGTTTTGGGGAAGGGCCTCTGGCAGAGGGAGTATGAGGCCTGTGGTTCTGACGGGAGGAACAAGGGTGTCTGAGGGACCAGGGAGGAGGGTGGGAGACTGTCAGGGGGACTTGCAGACCACAGTATTCATTTCTTACAGCCCCCGGACAATGTGGCAGCTTGAACAACACCCATGTATTATCACAGTCGGAGAGGGTTGGCTCAGCGGGGTACTCTGCTCTCATAGGCCAAAGTCAAGGTGCCAGTGGGCCGTGCTCTTGTCTGGGGCTCGAGGAAAGAACATGCTTCAGGCTCACTGGGGGCTAGAGGACTTCTCCCTGTGGCTGAGGGACAGAGGCCCCACTCCCCTGTGGGCTGTCAGCTCAAGGCTGGCTGCATCCGCCTTCTCAAAGCCAGCAAGGGCACCCTGAGTCCTCCTCACGCCGAGTCCTCTCTGCCACCCTCTTCCGCCTGCATCCAGAGGACGCTCTCTGCTGTCAGGGCTCCCCCAGAAACCAGGATAACCTCCCTCGTTTAAGGCCAACTGTCCAGAGAACAATGTGCCTCAGGGCGGCCTCTCATCACACTCAAGCTTCTGGGGGTGAGTGCGGGACATCCTTGGGGGCCTCCATAGCCATCGTGAAGGTGGCTTTTCCTGACCTAGCTGGATGGGGACCTGCTGGAGAGACGGGAGCTGAGAGGGGTCTGAGCTGACATGTATTTTTGGAAGAAACCTCTGGCTGCTGTGTTGAGACTAGACTGGATATAGATACAGCTCATGTATATTGTTCATTCACAGAGCACTTTCACCAAACACCCACATTCCAGCATTCCTGAGTGTGGCCTGCTACCTCAGAACAGAAAGCGGGAGAAGGAGAGCTATATCATCATCTTTCTGTCTATCTATCCATCTATCATCTATCTATCATCTATCATCTATCATCTATCTATCTACCTATCTACCTATCATCTATCACCTATCTATCTATCTAACCTATCTACCTATCATCTATCATCTATCTGTCTCTGTCTCTATCATCTATCATCTATCTATCTATCATCTATCTATCTGTCTCTATCTATCTATCATCTATCTGTCTCTATCTGTCTCTATCATCTATCTATCTGTCGCTATCTATCATCTATCTATCTATCATCTATCACCTATCCTCTATCATCTATCATCCATCTATCTATCATCTATCTGTCTCTATCATCTATCATATCTATCTATCTATCTATCTATCTATCTATCTATCTATCTATCATCTATCTATGTGTCTCTGTCTATCTATCTATCCTTCTGTCTATCTATCCACGTGCCTTTCTGTCTGTAGACTGGAGGTGGGTGGGAGGGGCATGGCAGCCATACAAAACAGGTACAGAAGTCACAGGTGACAGTGGCTCCATCAGAGTGGTGATGGTGGAGGTAAGAAATGGTTGTGTCTGGAAAGATTTTTAGACCAGCGCTTCCCAAAAGCCCTCTCCCCGCATCCCCCACCCCCACCACCTCTGACACCTAGCTTTTTCTTCCATAAGAGTCTGGCTTAGCTTAAACTTCAGGGTCATTCTGATTTACAATACGGCAAAATCCTGTAAGCAAAGATGCACAAAGACTGCAGGCCTGAAATCAGTGTGAAAAGAGAGTATAAAGGGAACACGTGCAGTAAAGTATTTCAACACATTTACTCTGTGCACACGTCTGCAGCCTCAGCCGCGCTTCTGACCTCAGGTCCAGCCACACATCCCGCCCCCGAGGGAAGGATTCAGACCTGGAGCCCTTTTTCTTGAGGAGCTGGGCAGTGGTGGGCTGGACAGCAGAAGGAAGTCCAGAAGCCAGATCTGCACAACGGGTGGGGGTCGGGGGTTAGGGGTGGGGGTGAGGGTGGGGGTCGGGGGTTAGGGGTGGGGGTGAGGGTGGGGGTCGGGGGTTAGGGGTGGGGGTGAGGGTGGGGGTGGGGGTGGGGGGTGGTCCGCAAGCCCAGGGAAGCAGGAGTGGGGTTAGGCACGGAGATAGGGAAGAAACGGGACAAATTCAGAGTGATGCTCTGTTTATGTGTTATTTATTTATGTATTTATTTTGAGCTACCACAGATCACAAAGAAAACAGCCGATGATGGCTCATGAGGGTGTCTCAGGGAGGCCGTCGGGGCCCCTGCACCTTGAGTTGTTCTAAGGTAGGGAGGAGGGAAAGCGATCAGCCTGCTGGTCCCTTTCCATTGCTCAAGACCCTGCCAAGCAGCCCCTGGCCTTTGCCCAAAGTGGAGACGATGGAGGGCTCAGGACGACGGGGCGAGGTGCTCAGTGCAGAGGAGGGAGCCTGCACCCACTGGGGTAGAGCTGATGGCCTGAGCATATGCGGCACCCACGGGACAGAATGCTCTTCCCCCATCCTTGCCCAGGTTGCTGGAGCTGACACCCAGGTGAACGCGGCTGGGACGAAACAGTGGTGAGCGGCCACTAAGCTTCTGTCCCAGTCTCCGTCAGCTGACCCCACCGAGAGCACACACTTACCCAGGAGAGAATCACACCCGGCCCTTCTGAGTGCTGTGGCGCCTTCAGACTTTATTCGTAGCAGATGCCGTGAGGACTCTGCCCACATTTCTCTGTATCCACTGACCATTTTTATGCCCCCGAGCCCCAGGTCTCTCAGTCCCAGCATCCGGCTTCTGAATCTTGCAGGCCCCCGAGCCCCAGGTCTCTCAGTCCCAGCATCCGGCTTCTGAATCTTGCAGGGGCTGCCCTCTGGCCACAGGAACCTCTTCCCTGGGGTTCGCTGAGCTCCTGGAGGGCTACGCTGTCTGGGAATTTATAACCCTCAGACAGTGAATGACAGATAAGACATAGAGCACCTGAGCACCCCCCAAACCAAAGGGCACACCTGTGAGCAGTGACAAGCAGCCTCCCAGTTCCTCCATGAGATGGAGCCGGAGTGACCCCCACAGCGTGCGGCCTCCTCCCCACCCAGTACCACCCCCCATTCCCACAAAGGGGTCTTCCAGGGAACACATCATTTATTTATACTGCTTCCACACAAATCCTCGTCTTGGGTTTGCTTCTAGAACCCCAGACTGAGATACCAACCCACAATCACGCCAGTGTTCAAATTCCATTCCCACCCAGGTGCCGAGGACGGCCAGGTGAGCAGCAGAGGACGATGACAGGAATTCTGAGTCCGCCTCAGTGAACAAAGCGGCGTGTGGCACACGGTCATGCCACGAGCCTGAGAGCAGATTGCAAAGCAAAGCGTGTAGTGCAATCCAACTTTTGGAAAGAAAAATAAATCCTTTATATATGACGGTGTAATAAAGAATTGAACCTTGCCCAGAGAGACCTGGCCTCTTCCCCCAGCTTCTGAGAGGTGGTCTCTAAGCCACATGGGACGGTCTTGGTTTGCCTGGGCCTTTGGACCACACCAGGAGGCCTAAAGTGTGATTCAGGTAGGGGTTGCGATGAGCTCACCCTCGAGTGAGCTGGAGACCTCCATCCGCATGGGCAGTCAACCATGGGGCCCCAGCAAAGGCTCTGGGACACTAAGCTCGGGGGATCCCACCTGGATGCCCCAAGTGACACTGCCCACAGCTCTGTGGGGAAGGACCCTCTGCAGGTGGGAACTTCCTGGACTCCGGCCTGAGCGCCTTTCCCTGGGTTGATAGTCATCTGTGTCCTACCCTTGTGCTAAGTCATGACCATGAGTATATCAGCTTTCAGTGAGTTTTTCTAGCGAATTATCAAAACTGAGGGTGGTCTTGGAGACCCCTACCCTTGTAACTGGTGAAGAATTGAGGACAGTTTTGTAGATTATGGTTCCCTCTAGCCCTGCAATGATGTTGACTGTAAGTACATTAAAGTATTTGTTAGACACTGGAAAACGATATGCAAAATGTAGGAAGTGGATGCCTCTGGGCTGTAGGATCATGCATAAGAGTGTATTCTTGTGTTTTCTATTTATTTTGTGCAAGACACGGTGATTACATACAGTGGGAGCTCCCTCAACCAACCTCTGCTCCAGCAACTCACATAATCTTGGTCAAAATGGGCTGGATGACTCAGTGAGCACAGGGGGCAAGGAGGCTGCTCTCTGCTGGTCGTGGATTTCGTCAGTTGAGATGTGACCAACCGGGAGACACTCAGGTTTGCTCCAAACCTGTTGATGCCACCTGTGATCCTTACTAGTGTCAGAGGCATTTGAACCAGAGCGACTCCATCTTGAATAGGGGCTGGATGAAATGAGGCTGAGACCTGTGGGCTGTAACCCCAGGAAGTTCAGTGTTCTTAGTCACAGGATGAGTAGGAGGTCCGCACAAGGTACAAGTCACAAAGACCCTGCTGATAAAACAGAATATGGTAACGAAGCTGGCTGAAACCAAGACGGCAACGAAAGTGACCTCTGGTCACCCTCACTCCTCGCTATACACTAATTATAATGCACTAGCATGCTAAGAGACACTCCCACCAGTGCATGACAGTTTACAGATGCCATGGCAATGTCAGGAAGCTACCCCATGTGGTCTAAAAAGGGGAGGAACCCTCAGTTACAGGAATTGCCCACCCCTTTCCCAGCAAAATCTTGAATGATCCACCCCTTGTTTAGCATATCATCAAGAAATAACCATAAGTATATTCAGTTGAGCAGCGGACATCACTGCTTTTCCTACAGAGTAGCCATTCTTTCATTCCTTTACTTTCTTAACAAACTTGCTTTCACTTTATGGACTAGCCCCGAATTCTTTCTTGCACGAGGTTTAAGATCCCCTTCTTGGGGTCTGGATTGAGACCCTGTTCCAGTAACACCATGAAACTTAATTCAACATTATGTAACCTATTACATATCAGTGCAAAATGACAGAAAGTTGTTTCTACATAAACCTAGATAAGTGATTTGGGAAAACAAGGTCAAGGTAACTTGAGGCTGCTTTAAAAATTGCTTTTGAATTAGGTATAGACAAGATGACTCTTAAAAATGAAAACTAATTGGTGAACGTTTGGAGAAATTCTGGTCTTAGATTGTCTTAAAATGTGCCCAACTTCTTGGTCCACTTTAAAAAATATGAAATTGGGTGGCTAGGAAGGAGAGTTAAGCCTGGGGTTTACACTAAAGAAGAAGAAGAACTTCAATCAGCAGACCAATGCTAAATACAAGCTTGTCCCTATATGGAAATATCTAGATTCATGAATGGAGCCAGAAGTGGCCAGATGGTGATGACGACCAGAGGGAGGGTTGGAGGCCTGGGACTGGGGCGTTGGCTAGGAAGGGGTGGGAATATTCATGAATGGAGAAGTGGCCAGATGGTGATGACGACCAGAGGGAGGGTTGGAGGTCCAAGACTGGGGCGTTGGCTAGGAAGGGGTGGGAGGGCCTCTCTGGAGTCACAGAAGCCTCATGCATCTTGACCAGGACGGTGGATGCATGGCTTACATTGGTCACAACTTGTCAACTTGTATGACTGAAAACTGAACATCACATTGAATTGGACTCAAAGGCAAGACCTGAGGCAAAATTCATGTAAGGAGGGAGTTTGGGCGAAGCTTGAGGACTGCTGCCCGGAAGCGTAGATTCAAGTTGCCCTGAATACACCTCCTATTAGCAGCTGTTACAGGTGGGTTTTTCAAGGGAAAGAAGAGGCTGTTCCAAGTTGTTGACCAAGGATTTATGTTAAAGTAACATAATCTATTGCTTGGCTCTATATTGTTAAGCCGTAGGGTGTGAGTTGCAGTGTCTGCTGCTGCACTAGGAGGTTAACCTGAGGCAACAGCCAGCGTTTCAAGAGACGAATACACAGCTCCAAGGCGGGGAGTGGGAAGTCACTGCCGCCTCACTTGACTGCCTCTCTGGGCCTGATCGTTTAAAAGGACTTGCATCATCCCTCAGCACAATTTCTTTCCTTTTCTCAATTGTATGAAAATTATACCTCAATAAGTTTACTATAGAAATTAATGAGTAAATATGTATAAGTTTTCAAGTTAAAAATATATGTAAAATATGTTTGCTCACTTTTTTAACCTATCTTCATTGGTTTTAAAAATTAACAAACCATGATGGCTTTGGAAACATGTTCTTCCATTTGTTACTTTCATAATGAAAGAAGAAATGTATTTTAAATAACATTTAAATTTAATTTTTTCATTATCATCTGGGAAGCCCCAGCCCTTTATGAAAGGAAAACAATGTCCACTTTAGAGTTAAACTTGCTGATGGAAAAACCAGACTCCGTAGAATATTTTAAAGAGGTTATTTCTGAGCCAACAGGGGCAACCACAGCCTGGGAGACAGGCTCCAAGGAGTCCTGAGAAAGGACCTGAGGTCGGGTTGCAGTTTTTTTTTAATTTTTTGAGATGGAGTCTCGCTGTGTCACCAGGCTGGAGTGCAGTGGCGCGATCTCGGCTCACTGCAACCTCCGCCTCCCGGGTTCAAGAGATTCTCCTGCCTCAGTCTCCCGAGTAGCTGGGACTACAGGTGCCCGCCACCACGCCCGGCTAATTTTTGTATTTTTAGTAGAGACAGGGTTTCACCGTGTTGGCCAGGATGGTCTCGATCTCTTGACCTGGTGATCCACCTGCCTCGGCCTCCCAAAGTGCTGGGATTACAGGCGTGAGTCACCGCGCCCGGCCGCAGTTTGGTTTTAACATTTCAGGGAGGCAGGAGTTACAGGCAAAGACATACAGCCGTGCACAGAAGGTCGGCATTGGTTTGACCTGAAAGGGAGGGACATCTCAGAGCTGGGGCTTACAGGACATCGGTGGATTCAGAGATTCTTTAATTTGCATTTGGTTGGAGGAGGAAGGTTCTGTCTAAAATTTGGAAGCTGTGTAGCAAGATGATGACCTGCAGGTGTGACTTTACCCTTGCCTGCATGGGTCCTGTTTATAATTTGGTATCTTATTGCCACAAAGAGTCTGTCTGTCAGTCCTAAGATCTCCATGACCTCTAATGCTGGTCCGTGGTTGCATCTAAGCTGCAAAAGGGAAGGAGTATAATGAAGCGTGGCGGGCCTCCCTTCCCATCGAGGCTGGGAACTCAGCTTTTCAGGTTTCTCTGGGGCCCCTTTCAGTTGTTTAGGGGGCTTAGGGTTTTGTTTAGCTTACCAACTTTTCCTATTAGAAATTTAGCTGAAGTTGAGGTCACATAAGTCTTCTGGAGCATTCCCTAACACAGAAAATGCCCCGCCCTTTAGAATTCTAACAGGACAGAGAAAGTGGAGGCGAGGAGCCCACCCTCTCCAACTCCTGCTCTTACCGGGGCCCCAAGACCCAGAGGAGGGGCCTGCCTGGGCCCTGGGGAGGGCACCCAGCCTGTGCTCCCTGGAAGGGTGGGTTACTCCAGGCAGGCCACTCCTGCTGGCATGGCGATGATTCAGTTTCAGCCCTGCACCTGCAGCCTCTGGTTGCAGCCGGTCTGCAGTGTTTCTCTTTGTTCCCCCTTCCATCTTCCTCCCACCTTATGTTCCCATGCTTCCCAGCAGGAGCGGAGGCCCAATTTGCGTTTCCTTTTCTGTAATAAAGCCTGCTGATGGGTGATTGCAGCTTTCTCTCACTGCCAGGGAGGAACTGGGGTAGGCTCCAGGCAGCCAGAGGCACCACTGTGCTTCCGTGGGTTTCCCCGGGGCACCTTCAAGTTCCAGTGTGAGTGCTGTTGAGATTCCGGGCGTCCAGTGCACACACGGGAGACGGCCATTGCCTCCCCTCCAGCCCCAGCCGCGGTGCACAGGGCGAAGGCTGTCTGGGTGAAGGCTATTTGTGAGTGAGGCCGGGGAATGAGGGGCAGTTGGCTGCTGCTCTGGAGGCCTGGGCGGCCTTGGTGTCTGGGAGCCTCGGCCAGGACACTGGCCGGTGGGGCCCTCGTGGCCCTAGCTGACCTTGACTTACTGCAGCTGGAGCGAAGTCTCCCACAGGTCCTCCATCCTGCAGGGATTCGGGCATGACTAGGGGTCAGGTGAATCTGATGGACAGCCCTGCTGCATGAGTTCAGGCTGGGGCACTCCTGCAGGAGACTGAGCGCCCAGCACTGTCCATGAGGAGGGGGATTCTGAGCACTCACTGTGGCTGTGCCCCCGACTCAGCTGCAGCCTGGAGGGAGTGTCCAGCCCCAGGGAAGGCAGAAAGCCCTTGACAAACCCTGGTGCTCTGGCAGCCTGGTGGGCTGACAGGCAGCCCTGTCCCCATCCCTCCGCACGTCTCAGGCATGGCCTGCACGGGTCTCCTCGCAGGTGCCCCCACACCCCACCGTGCACGCCTGGCCATCTCCTAGAGAAAGGCCTCCCAGGCTGCTCAGGAGTGGCCAGGCTCCTCCTGCCCTCCTTCTCTTTGAGTGCTGAGCATGGGAGGCAGGTGGGGGGCCAAGGTCTTTGAGTGCTGAGCATGGGAGGCAGGTGGGGGGCCAAGGTCTTTGAGTGCTGAGCATGGGAGGCAGGTGGGGGGCCAAGGTCTTTGGGTGCTGAGCATGGGAAGCAGGTGGGGGGCCAAGGTCTTTGAGTGCTGAGCATGGGAGGCAGGTGGGGGGCCAAGGTCTTTGAGTGCTGAGCATGGGAGGCAGGTGGGGGGCCAAGGTCTTTGAGTGCTGAGCATGGGAAGCAGGTGGGGGGGCCAAGGTCTTTGAGTGCTGAGCATGGGAGGCAGGTTGGGGGCCAAGGTCTGAGCCTTTTGGAAGCACCCATCATCTGGTTCTCAAGTCAACTCTGATTTTCACGTCACTGGTGATTACTTCATTTTAAAAGGTAGCCTCCTGTTTTGGAGGTGTGAACTAAAAGCATAACCCTGAATCCCCCCCTCCACTGACTGAATGACCCTTCTCGGTCAAGGGGACCCAGAGAAACCTGAAAAGCTGAGTTCCAGGCCCTGACAGGAAGGGGGTCAGACATGCCTCGTCATACTCCCTCCCTTTGGGAGTTTAGACACAACTGACCAGCAGTAATGTTAAAACGGAGATCTTAAGACTGACAAAGCAGACTCTTGGTGGCAATAGGATACCGAATTATAACAGGACCCGAGGCCGCACAAGGCAGGGGTGGGTCCCACCTGCAGGCTGAGCAGGACCTGAGGCTGCACCTGTAGGCTACAGATCCTGTAGCAGGATCTTAACTTAAACGTTCCAAGTTTTAGACAGAGCCTTGCTCCTCTCACCAACAGGAACTCAAAGAATCTCTGGATCCATCTATATCCTGTAAGCCCCCTTCAAGGTGTCCCACCTCCAAAGGCCGAGCCAGTGTGGACCTGCCATGCATGGCTGTATGTCTTTGCCTATAACTCCTGCCTCCCTGAGATGTCAAAACCAAACTGCAATCCGATCTCCTCAGGCACACGTTCTCAGGACTCGCTGGGACCGTGTCTGTCTGGCTGTGTCACTCACTGGCTCAGAAGAAACCTCTTTAAAATATTTTACAGAGTTTGGTTTTTCCATCAACAGAGAAAAGACTTGGAATATGCAGGAAAGACTTGATCAATTTCAGGTGGTGGGCAGAATGCTTGTCACAGACGCACCCACTGCAAGTCTGCACAGCTGAGTGGAAGGAGCTGGTGCCTGACACTGTGACCCGAACTCAAAGGGCCACTCAGGCAGCACAGGCTGGTTATCAAGGGCGTCACTCCACCACCTCCAAAGCAAAAGGGACGTGTGGAGGACTGTGCTGCATTTTGTCTCAGTATTCATCAGCCTGGAGATAGAAATGTGTTCCTGTCGGGGGCGAGCCTTCCCTGTTGGACGTGGGTTTCTGAGGTTGTGTTCCCATTGGGGGTCAGCCTTCCATGTTGGAAGTGGGTTTCTGAAGTTGTGTTCCCGTTGGGGGTGAGCCTTCCATGTTGGAAGTGGGTTTCTGAGGTTGTGTTCCTGTCGGGGGTGAGCCTTCCATGTTGGAAGTGGGTTTCTGAAGTTGTGTTCCCGTTGGGGGTGAGCCTTCCATGTTGGAAGTGGGTTTCTGAGGTTGTGTTCCTGTCGGGGGTGAGCCTTCCCCGTTGGAGGTGGGTTTCCGAGGTTGTGTTCCTGTCGGGGATG
This sequence comes from Homo sapiens, assembly GCF_000001405.40. Classification (NCBI taxonomy): domain Eukaryota; kingdom Metazoa; phylum Chordata; class Mammalia; order Primates; family Hominidae; genus Homo; species Homo sapiens. The sequence continues at coordinate 141,931 of NC_000007.14, forward strand.
AGCCTTCCCTATTGGACATATGGGTTTCTGAGGTTGTCTTCCTGTCGGGGGTGAGCCTTCCCCGTTGGAAGTGGGTTTCTGAGGTTGTGTTCCTGTCGGGGGCGAGCCTTCCCCATTGGAAGTGTGTTTCTGAGATTGTGTTCCTGTCGGGGATGAGCCTTCCCCATTGGACGTGGGTTTCTGAGGTTGTCTTCCTGTTGGGGGTGAGCCTTCCCCATTGGAAGTGGGTTTCTGAGGTTGTGTTCCTGTCGGGGGCGAGCCTTCCCTGTTGGAAGTGGGTTTCTGAAGTTTGCTGTTGGAAGCAGAGCTTGCGTCCATGCTCACAGCAGCACCAGCCGCAATCAGTCACTGAGGTCTGTGCTGGGTGTGGAAGATGAGAGTGGTACCACATGTTCCTCAATCTGGACTAGAGGTTTGTCTGTGATTAGCGGAGACTGGCCTGCCAAGAGCCAAGGGCGCTGTGTTTGCATGTACAGCAGGCGTCTGATACGGTTCTGGGGCAGACGCCAGCCAGGCCGAGCAGGCAGCCTCCACTGCTCCGTGCATGGGGTCAGAGTCCACAGCATGGGACCTGGTCCCTGGGCAGGCCTGACAGACATCTGTGAACCAGGAATGGGCATATTCCAGGAGGTCTGGCACAAAGCAAAGTCATTGTAGACTTTGGCAATTGCATTTGTTCCAGATAATACATTTTCTTAGGACCTAAGGCCTCAGAACTTAAAATGAATGTTGTAAAGTTTGAAGCCAAAACAAAATGCAGACAGGCTGTACCCAGCAATTCCTGACTCTGCAATCTGGGCCTAATTCAAGTACTCATCTCCATGGCCTGCCAAAACCCTCCCACCGGAGCTCACCCTGTGGTCCAGTGCTCAGCACCATTCATACCTATGTTCGGGGACAGAAGCCACTCTGGGGACTAGGAAGAAAACACGTAAAGGAATTGAGCTTAAAATAAAAAGAAATTCGGTATATTTCATACCCACTAGCAATATGCCTTTAGAAAGAGACAGGCTGGCAACTGCACGTTGGGAAGGACGCACAGTGACTAGAACTCTCGTTCCCTACTGCTGGGAGTGCAAAACGGAACAGCCACTCTCCCGACTGCCCAGCGACCACACTCCCGGGTGTTTACCCAAGAGAAATAAAAATCGTGTCTGTAAAAGAATGTCTATCAGCCTTATTGATAACGTCTCCAAACCCTGATTACATCAAGTGTCCGACCGCAGGAGGACGGACGAGAACGGGTGGCCCTTCACAGAACAGGCTAATTCTCAGCATGTGGGAGCACTCGTGCGTGGAAGGCCAGGCGTGTGACACGTGTGAGCATAGCGTGGGCAGGACGCACGTGAGGGCAGTGGCGGCTTCAAGCACAAATCCTAGGGACTGGGTGGGTCCTTGGAGCAGCAGGCCTGGGTGAGCCTTAGTGGACTCCTCTGTGGCCTGTAGGGGGGTCTCTGCCCTCATCACACCCAAGGAGACCAGGAGACCCGCACAGATGCAGGTTCTCCTCAGTTGTCTAGTGGAGGACTTCAGATTGGAAAGAAACTCTCAGCCTGGCAGCCTCACAGTACTGAGGAGGCCACAGGCCCAGGAAGGGCCTCACTATTGGGCCCCACGCTGCCGGCTCCTGGTGACCTGCGTCCCAGTACCTGGTCTGGTTTCTTTTCCCAGACTTTGGAAGGTCCCCGTTGTCTGCAGGGGGTCCCAGCCCTGCCAGGGGAAACCCCCCAAATCCGAAGGCAAGGGAACGCCCAGGAGAGGGAACCTGCTGTCCACGCTGCAGAAAGGCCCGCAGTTCTCCTGTCTTCACAAGATGCCTGACCCCGGCTGAGTCACCTGAAATCTTTCCAAAGCACCCTCAGCACACATTAGGGCACTTCTCCCTGTATTTTGGTATCAACCTATTTCCCCTACCCTGCCTCAGTCCTATTGCTTCTTTGTGAACTTTGCTTAGAGAATCTTCTCCTGAAGTCTGCAGAGGAAACTGGGGCGCCCTCAGATGCTGTGTTCACACTGTGTGTGGACACACAAGCATCCCCTTGGCCACCCCCAGGCAGGCCCTGCAAGTCGGAGGCCTGAGGGGAGAACCAGTGTCCCCGAGACACTCTTGCTGGTCGGAGACGCCTGAGTGCTGTGACCAGGCCACACACAGAGACTGGCGCTGCAGCCCCTGGAGGGGAGGCTTCAATCTTCACCCAAAGCAGCCATCAGTGGGACTCACCCTGGGCTGGCCTGACCCAGCACAAAACTATAGTGTCGAAGAAATACAGGAAATGAAAAGAAACCTAGAATGAACTGAAACCAAAATGGGGGGAAGATGGAAATATTAACTACCCAGTATGTAAAACTGGTTTTCACACTTTTTAACGTTTTATACATGGCACTGCCTGTTACCCAGGCCCCGACTCGGCCCCTCCCTGGCCTGCTGCCTGCGTTGCTCCTGCCCGTCATTCCCTCCCCTCAGCCTGCTTTTCCTCCAAAGCTCTAGCTAATACCTGAAATGACAGCATGGATTTGCTTATTTATTTATTGGGCTGCCCCTCATACATACGAGCTGCAAGAGGGCAGGGTCGAAGCCTGTCTTGTTACAGGGCCCGTGGTGGAGCTGTACAAGTCACACCCTGCCGAGGGGAGCACTCTGCTCACCAGCCGCCTGGAGGGGCACACGTTTCCCACCCCATTCACCCAGGGGAGACCTTTTTCCGTTGCGTGCAGAGGTTCTGTGTGAGCTGGAGGCGGCCACGGGCCAGTCACACGGATGGTGGCTCCGGCTGGTGCCCATCCCTTCATATTCAGGAGAGACGGACTGTCTGTGAGACATTCTCACAGGTGCTCTGGGATACACGCCATGGCTGTACCTGGCCTCAAGTGGCTCATCGTGCTTCAGGGGATACAAAATGGATACACAGATAACTCTAATACAAAATAAGGTCTGAGGGCAGGAATTTTGGAATATTGTCATATTTGTTTCTAGAGTTATTTTAGAAAAGCTCATATTGTGGGATTTGGATGAAAATTCATCATTACATTCTTAATAGACCGATTTGGGGGGCAAACTGGAGTCCTTTTGTAACACTGGTTTGGATAAGGGAATTTGAAATTACCTCAAAGAATAAGCAACAGTTCTAATTTTCATTCCATTTAGGTTCAGAAAAAGGATGGAGGTAGAAAGTCCTCTCTCCCAAACACTATGATTGACACTGCAGAGTTCTGCAACTCTCGTACGAGGGAGATTTCATGATGATCTCAGTAACCGATCAGAGAATCAACGACTGACTTCGCTGAGGCACGGTGATGAAAAGGTCAAGGTGGTCTGGTCTGAGTGAAGTCACAGCAAGAACCCTTGTCCAGGGCCATTCTCACCTTTGGGGACAGCTCCTTCCCTGTATGGTCCTCATGTCACTGCACTTTCCTGCCTTGTTTCTTGCTGAAGCCATTATTTCTTAATTCCTTAGTAGATATGCAGAGCGGACATCCCAAAGAAGCTAGAAAAATTGATGAGCAGGGAACAGATCAAATCCTCTCCATCAGTGGAAGGCAATTCACGAGGGAAGAAGGCAAGACCATGGGGTAATTTTTCTGAGACTTGACAATGTTTGCCAAGTAAATAAATCTGCCATTTAACACTACGATAAAAGCTGTCATAGCCAGGGTATTAGTGACTACTTGAGGTTTGAGGACAATGAAGACAGAGTAAGATAAACATCCTTACTATCCAGAAAAAAAAAACGGAACCAGAAGACAGCGCTTCTTACTATCCACAAAAGAAATGGAACCGCAAGACAGCCCTTCTTATTTTTCTCCATCTTCGATGGTGAGGAAGAATAAAAAAAAAGTTGCTTTTAAAGTATATTCATTAAAATCAAATTCTATTATCATACACACAAAATATTTACGTGAAACCAGCCACAAAAGAATGACAAGGAACGCTACTGATTTGTCCATTCTGGGGGATAAGAACACAGATTCTTATCTCACTCTTGTTAAAAGAAAACTTCAGCTGAATTAAATTTAAAGGAGTTTAATTGAGCAATGAATGATTTGCACATCGGGCAGCCCCCAGAATTACAGCAGATTCAGAGAGACTCCAGTGCAGCCACGTGGTGGAAGATTTATAGACAAAAAAAGGGAAGTGAGGTAGAGAAACACCTGGATTAGTTACAGGTTGGCATTTGCCTTATTTACACACAGTTTGAACATTCAGCAGTGTATGAGTGATTGAAGTACGGCTGCTGGGACTGGCCGAGACTCAGCAATTGTGACAGGTACATACTCCTAATTTAGGTTTTCAATCTTGTCTACCTATTAAGTTAGGCTCAGTTTGTTCACAGGGACTCCAATACAGAAGTACGGAGTCCTTCTCAGGCCATATTTAGTTCGCTTTAACAATTCCCCCTTTTTGGTCATTTTATCAGTTTTGAGAGATTGATCGAAACTTGAGTTATTGATGTCACTGTCACCATTGGTCTTGAAACCCACTAGGAAGCAGAACAGTGAGTTTTGCAAAGGTAGGAACAAGGACTGAGTTGAGGATACCACCTTATGCTGGAAAGTCCTGTTTGCAAGAGAAAAACAAAACCTGGTCTATTCTAGGACCCATGTGTTTCCTTAAAGTCTTAATTCGATTATGTCACATTTAGCACGAATGATGCCATTTTGGTTCGGTTTGGTCTGTTGGGACCTAGTGCTCAGTCCAAAACAATGGCCTCCCATCATTTTGTTTAAAAAATTCCCCCTTTGTCAGGTTGTCACTTAGGCAAGAGTGTGACCAAAACTTAGGATGTTAGCGCCACTCTCCGTTACTATCATTTTGGATTTCCAGTCTCAGCATGTCACTCATCGGTTTCGGTGTCCTCGTGGTCACACATTTCTTTCAGCTCTTGTCATTCCAGTTGAAGAGAGACCATCTGACGTTCTAAAGATGGCTTCATGCAAACATTTAAAACCTTTGAGAGAATACAGTGCACCAGGGAGACTATTCTTATGACTACTGAGAGGGTTAACACCAAGAATTTGGAGTATGCTCCTTAGCCAGGGTCCCCATAAACCAGACCACCTAAACTCAAATAGACCATTCTTTGACTTAACTCAGTGGTCTTTTCGTTAATTCCCTACAACAGACTCTCTATAACACCTGATGTTTTCTCCATAGGCCTTAAGTGCCAGCATCTGCACAGGTACTTTCCTGTTTAGCCAATTCTATTTTTTAGCATAACTTTCACAAGAGAATTTAACATCTGTTGTGTAGCCTTTACAGTAGAATCTGCTACAGAGTCTACCATGAGGGATATGTTTCTAGTCATTGCCTTTTTAATTCCAAACCATGGAAAAAGGACCTAACAAATGATGCCCTTCTAGAAGAGGGAAGGCCTCTTGGCAATGGTCTCTTTAACCCATGCTGTGGGTTAAGAGGAGTGAACCAATGTTCTGCTTCTGAATGATTATGAGGCACCATATGTACCATTGAAGTTTCTCACCTATGATACACTGGGCCTTCATCTTTATCTATCAAGTTATAAGATTATCCATGTATAAAGCTGGCTGCAAAGCCCTTCACAAATAAAAGTATACCCCATAAGTGCACAAAACAGACCCCCTTCTCACTTCTGTTGTTCACAGAGGCGGAAGCAACGGAAAAACATTCAAAGATAAGAGTCTCATGATAGTAAGAAGTCTTGATCCATGATCTTCAGAAAGAGCTGCTCACATCAAGGATGCCATCTTCTTCTGGGGAGAAACTTCCCTGATTAGCTTTACCTTAAGGGTTTCAATGGATGTAGAGTTCCAAGAGTGACCCTGCTCAGTTGTGAGATTATGACCCCAAGGTTCAAGATCCTGATGTTTTGTTGCAGTGATGATGCCAAGGGCAGCGTTTCTCTGATGTTCTCAGAAGATCCCATCTTTGGGTTCTAGATTGTGAAGGGGTTGATTGTCCTCAGTGAACCATAAAAAGCTCTTTACCTGGTGAAAATACACTGATACATAGTAATCTACTGTTATAACATTAGCCCTCCTGCATGGGAAAGCTTTAGTACAACCAGAACACATACATTGAAAATGACAACTGAATGAAACCCCTTTATAAATGTTTAAATGCCTCATCAGGTAGCCAAATGTACATGAAGCTTTGATTGACTTCCCAGGAGTATGGGTTTGACAAACTAAACATTGTTTATAAACTATTTTAACAATCTGTAAGTCACCACACCAACATATTTAATTTGGATCATTTTATCTTTTCCAGGATGAGTCATGGAATGCATAACTTTTAATAACAAAAGCTTTAAGGACTCACGAAGGACAAGGCAGCCATCTTGGTTCTCCATGAGTCCATGCTTAACATCGGACTTATGTCCTCTTGGGTGCCAGTTGTTTCTCCAAATTGGGCACATAGCATGGATAACTGATGGGTTATCACAGGTAATTTGACTTAGACCATGGAGTTCATTCAAATTGTATATCTAAACAATTTCAGTATAGGCTGATTAAGTATGCAAACCTGGTGAAGCATTTCCTCGGTATTCAATTAATTTTTATTCTATTTGGGTTAGCAGTTTTATAAGCCAGTCAGTCTTTTCATTAAAGTTTCAGCAATTCTTACCCAGTCCAAATGATGTGATTTTGAAGTTACTAGAAACCTGTATTCCACAGTGCTTTTCAGGGTCCTCCCCATCCGTTCACGAACCTCCTAAAAGACACCATGTTCTAGGATTTTTGTGTGCTTGTGAAGTTTTCAGAAACTACATCAGCATGAAGCAATTAACTGCGGAAATGACTTTAAATACTCAAAAAGACACAATTGACAAAGAAATTTGGTTATAACAACAACATAACCATAATTATGATCGGTAGCATATACTCAGAAAAATTAGAATTTTAGAAATCCCATACAACTTTGGAACATATATTAATATCATTCACTAAAATATAACCTGAAGAAGGTTAAATTTTTTTTTTGACACTATTCTGTATCGAAAAGTCCAAAATGTTTCTTAAAAAGTAACTAAAAAAACACTGGAGTAATTAAAGGACACTTCCTGTGCAGGGGATGGAAAAATCTCAACAAAAAAGGAGCGCAGAAGAGCCTGGCTAGGCGGGAGAACACGGTCAGGCCCGCAGGAGACGCCGCGGCACCTGCCAGAAAGAGAGCCGCAGGCCAAGACCAGGAGACGCGAGAGAGGTGGGCAGGGCTGCCCGAGAGACCCAGGCGGCCATTGCCCGCCCTGCGTCTGCGCCTGCGCCGGAGCCTCCTCCACACTGCGCCAGCGCCGAGTCCGGCCGCCTCCTCATTGCGCCGGCGCCGGGGCTTCCTCCACACCGCGCCTGCGCCGATGACAACCCGCCTCTACAGGACGCCTGCGCAACGCCATAGTCACCTCATCAGCTCCGTGCACTTACGAGTCTCTCTCTGATCGACCACGTGTTCCTGTCGGCTCACAGAGGCCGCCTCAGGGTCCTCCCCCATTGTCTTCCTCGCACCCTCCACTGTTCCCGGCCCTTCACTCTGCGCTTGCGCAGGAGTCGCTCGCTCCTCTCTGCGCCTGCGCAGAGGCCACCTCCTCCCCGCCCGTCCGCTCCCTTGGCGTCGTCTTGGGCCGCGCCCCGACCCCTTCTGTTTACGCATGCGCAGGAGCCGCCCTGCGCGGGTGGGGGGCTGAGCCCCTGTGGCTTCAGGTTTAAAGGCGCGAGCGCCACCCACGCAGGCACAAGGGCTCCTAGTCGTTTTATTTTTAGCGTAAGGTTTTCCTCTTTAACAAGGAAGTAAAAAAAAAAGTTGTGCAATAAATATTAATCGTCCTTATATGTACTCGGGAACGTTCGTCCTTTAGGTTTTCTCCTGGCGCATGGGCGCCGCCAATCATTTCGGGGCTTATTTTGGTTCTAAAGCCCGGGGCAGCCAGGCCTCCCTGCCTGGCCTCGGCGGGGACGCGGGACCTGGGGCCCCGGACCGGGCCTAACCGCCCTGGCCGGTCCCCACTGATGGTGGCGGTCGGTCCTGATCGTCCTGATGGCAGCGACCAGGCTGGACTCGGGCTGTGCAGGGGCGAGGGGAGCAGGGCGGGGTGACGCCCGGAGAGCGGCCTGGAGAGCGCGTGCTTCAGAAGGCGTGGGCACCCTGTCCCCTTTGCAGATGGGGATGCAGGCCCTGGTGGCGGTGGAGGGGAGATGGGGGCAGGGACGTTGCCGGGCAGAGGAAGCTGGGTGAGTGTGCACTTGGTCCCCTTTGCTCCTCCCTGGGACTTTGGGCTCTATAGGGCAGCCTCCGAGGCCCACGTGCACACTCGGTGAACCACAGTCCAGACACAGGCAGGGCGGCAGGCCAGGGAAGGAGAGGCCAGGTGTTGGTGCATGGAGAGGCCAGGTGTTGGCCTGGGGGTGCTAAGTGAACCCCCAAGGTCGCGGAGACAGTAGGGCAACAGCAAAACGAGCTCTGCCGTCCAGGGCGAGGGCCCGGAGTCCTCCCCAGGGGTGGGCTGCAGAGAAGCCCCTGTCCAGGCCCTGCTCACCTGCAAAGTGCTCCCGAGCTCCTGTGCCCCCAGCAGCAATCCCAGCCCCGCTGACACCCAAGCTTGTCACCCGCTGGGTTTCTTGAGGTCTGAGGACCGTGGCTGAGGGTGCATGGGCGCTGGGATGGAGGGGGATGTCCTGTCCCAGTCTGTGCTTATTAATTGTTAAAGAGGGCAAGGCTGCTTTTATTCAAGGTGGGGGGGCTGCTAAAGCGAGATGTTGGGTTAGGGGAGGCAGATCCGGCTCAACTCCAGATAGAAAAAGTGGGAATTGACAGCCCAGGCGTAGGGTCGGGAGTGGAGAGAAAATTACTAAGAGGAAGGGTCAGGGGCAAGGCGGGTTCTAGCTGCATAGACAGGATTTTTGCTGAAAAGGCAGGCAGTGTGGTCACAGACCGAGGGTGGGAGTTGAGGACTTTGATCAGGGACCAAGAGTAGACGATTTTCACTAAACCGACTCAGCAGGATTCTTGCTAAATCGGCCGAAACCGGCCAAGGTCAGGGACTGGTCACAGGGAGGGCTCAGAGGAGCCTGACTCGAGTGTGGTCAAAGGAGAGAGTCTTTGTCATCTTTTAAGAGGCGAGAGTGACGTATTAGTGAGAAACGGTGAAGGGATCAAGCTCAGGCCAGCAGCCCCGAGTTTGAGATGAGGACAGGCTGGGTCCAGGAAGGGCTGCAGGAATAGGGGGCACCTGAGCCTGCAGAAAGCGGGGAGCCCAGCCGCCAGAGCAGGCACCCCCAGGCAGACCTCAGTGTGTCCTGCCCTGTGGGAGTGGCAAGGCCAGACCAAGCTGGATGTGAACCAGTCCCAGAACACCGCCTAGAATTTGGATTGTAATTTGTTATCGATGATATTGCTGCTTGGTCTCTCTCCTCTTCCTCCCCACCCCCACCCAAGATGGAGTCTGGCTTTGTCCCCCAGGCTGGAGTGCGATGGCAGGATCTCGGCTCACTGCAACCTCCGCCTCCTGGGTTCAAACAATTCTCCTGCCTCAGCCTCCCAAATAGCGGGGATTACTGGTGCGTGCCACCACACCCAGCTAATTTTTGTATTTTTGGTAGAGACGGGGTTTCATCATGTTGGCCAGGCTAGTCTCAAACTCCTGACGTCGTGATCCGCCCACCTCAGCCTCCCGAAATGCTTTGGGATTACGGGTGTGAGCCGCCGCGCCGAGCATGGCCATCGTGGCTACATCAGTCCCGGCTAATAGAGATTTTAGCACACTCAGATTCTATTGGCTAATAAGATTTAATTATAATTCTGGGGTATTTAACAATGTCGTTATACAGTCTTCATTGTTGCAAATGGAGAATGAAATCGGGTGCATGTGACACTAATATGACCTGTTCATGCTCTGTCACTTAAACGGAGTTAAGTAACATAGCCCTGAGCAGGAAGACTCCTTCCCCACTTCTGTCCAGGAGCTCCTTACTCGATTCTGGGGAACAGAAAGGCTTTCAGCGGCCAAGGGGAGTGACAACAGCCAGACATGAGACACCTCCTAGAGCCCTTTGGTGTTACCCTTTCCGGTCCATCAGCCACAGTGTCCACCCCAGGTAGCTGGGTCCTGAGTTCACCGTCTCAGGACATTTTTCGACCTGGTTTGTCTGAATTATTATTATTATTGATCATTGAGACAGGGTCTCAGTCCATCGCCAAGACTGGAGTGCAGTGGTGTGATCCTGGCTTACTCAGCCTCCCAGGCTCAGGTGATCCTCCCAGCTCAGCCTCCTGCGTAGCTGGGACCACAGGCAGGCACCACCATGCCTGGCTAAATTTTTTGTATTTTTTGTAGAGACCAGCTCTCGCTATGTTGTCCAGGTTGGTCTCAAACTGCTGCCTCAGCCTCCCAAGGTGCTGGGATTACAGGCATGAGGGACCAAGCTCAGCAATCTGAATTATTTATGCAGAATTTTTTTTTCTCTAGCTGGAAGAGCTGTTTATATGCACGTTTCTTTGGGGGCAACTCTTCTCCATTGTCACAGATTTTTTTTTTCCAAGCCATTCCTGGGGGATTCCTGGGAGCCATGTGGGAGAGGCGTGAGGAAGTGAGACCTTCACCCCGAGACAGGTCCTGACACACCCTCTGGTGCCTCTACTCAAGTGAGGTGAGAGGGGAAACTGGTGTATTTTTAGATGAAGTTTCCTTGGGAAATTGTTTCTATTTTATATTTTATCAGTAATCCCCTGGCTAATGTTTTAAACCAATATTTATAACACTGCCTCAGAGCTTTGGAATAAACAGATTTCCATAAAGAAAAGCTGCTTTAGAGTGCTACACTGTAAGAGGGGCCGGGCAAACAAGAAGGGACGGAGGAAAGACCACCAAGTGAGAGGCACAGGTGTCAGGACACACAGAGAGCCCGAAAACGAGGCAGAGGTGAGCGGGGACCAGCAGCACAGCGGCACTGACGCGCCAGGGACTTGGGCTCTGCTGGCCTCCTCCCTCGCGGCCAGCAGTGGCAGTGGTGGGAGTAGGCCTGGCTTGTCTGTGGTTGCCTTTGTTGCTTTAATTGAAAGTACTCAAGGCTATTTCTTGTCGCGTCATTTCTGACAGTGTCCGGTGGTCCCTACCCTGTAATGCCAGGAGGTTCCAGCCCCACCCTTCCCTCCCCACTCCCTCTTTCATCTCCCGGATCCTATTAGAGGATTGCTTTTATAGCTGATGAGCTGATGAAGTATGCATTTAGCCCTTTAACCGTAACTGAATTTCCCCTGGTGCACATCTGTATGAAGGGTGTGCACCAGGGCTGAGCCGTCTGCTGGGCGAATATGTCCCTCCCTGAGGCCCAGGACCACAACCCCTGAGTCACTCAAAGGAATCGTTCCCAGCCTTAAGGTCAGATGCGCTTTCTCCTTGTCCTCCATTATTTCTTTAAATTCCTGCCACATTTAAGTTTCTTTATATTTAAACTAAGACCTTTTATTTCTTAAACTTCTAATTGCTGTTCTTTTATTATTTTTGATAGAAGTTTGGCTGCTGTAACTGACTGGGAAGCTTAAAATAACAGACAATCATCTCTCACATTTATGGGGACTGGGAAGTCCAAGACCAAGTTGCCATCTGGGGAGGGCCTGTTCCTCACAGCGCCTTCCAGCTCAGGCCTCGTTTATAAGGGCACTCAAGCCTTCCACGACAACGGGTCCTCATGACTTACTCACCTCGGAAAGCCCCACCCCCAAGACCATCACATTGTGGGTGATGGCAGAGCATAAGGTGCCTTCCCCACATGCTCGGGTTGGCCCAGCGTCTCACGCTAGCAGCTACGTGGAATAGTTATTTTTTCTGGAGAACTCTGGGACCCCTCTGATGTCTTGGAGCACCCACACAGGCCGTTCACTGTGCACGCTGTGAGGCTGTCGTCTTGGAGCACCCACACAGGCCGTTCACTGTGCACGTGGTGAGGCTGTCCTCTGGGGAGTTCTGCTGTTGTATGGGTTCTGTCTGTGTCAATGTCCCAGCGGGAACGCAGGGCACACTAGCGTCATCCCCAGAGGGCTTGGTAAGGGGACTGTTTGCAGAGACATAGGCAGAGGGCTGGAAAACTACCAAAAAAGTGCAGTGTTCTGGACCTAATAATAGCAGAGCTATTCTCACCCTGGTCTGAAGGCAGGAGGGGAGGAGCAGTTAATGGATTCTGGAAGTCAGGTTGCACAGAGTCACCTTGAAAGATGCCATGACCTTCACCGAGGGCCAGACAGAGACTAAGATGACCCCATAGGAGAATAAGACCTAGACCTCATCCTCCTGCCTCCTGCCAGTCCCTGCCAGGGGTCGCCAATGGCAAAACAGGACTGGAAGCCAGAGGCCATGGAAGCCCATGGATGAAGTCCACAGGCCAGCCTCCCCGAGAGCAGCCTGGACGGTCCGCAGGAGACGTCTCCTGTCTTAGGCGTCCCACGCCGCGTGCTCCTGTTCAGCCCTGCCGAGGTGGAAGCTTGGAGTGGCTCACGGTGGATGCATTGACGCTGCAGACGCCAGCAAGTGCTACAAACCAGAGCTGGCCTTTAACTCAGACTGATGGAGAAGGTGTTAATAATGCAGATTAGACTTAAAAGTGTTGAAGCCATTGCACTGTGAACAGCAAAAAAATTGAAGAACTCTTCTGGCATTTAAAAACAATTACTCAGTTCAGCAGAGAAGTCACTGACAAACGAGATCACACTGACTGCTTTGTCGTTTTGGTTTTGTCTTACTCATTAATGCAAATAAGAACATTCACTAGCATCTGTGTCGGGCCTACCCTCCCTGGTCAAATACAGCTACAGTCTCCCTGCAGAAACGAGTTTTCCAGAAATGAGCCGATGTTTTCTGCGAGAATCAATTGGTCATATACAATTTACAAAAATGAGTACTGTATACTATATTTGTAAACTGTACACTGCAGATGCTTTATTTCACTGAAATTTATAATACACTTATCCATGTATATGCATGCATGCATTTTTGTTCCTGAGATCCAGCTGTGAAATGTTTACCAGCACATAAATTACCAGCACATGCTCTTTTTTGTTAACCTACTAGGTAAAATCTTCATTTATTACATCAAATTCTTGTAGTTTTTGTATTGCAATTATGCAGATATTGATTATCGCAGTATTACTGCAATTATACAGATACCACAATTTCAGATATTGATCAGCGTGTTCAGTTGGTTTCTAAGGAGGTTTACTTACCTCATGGTACACCTAGTTTGCATAGTTTGATTATATTTAACTCTTATGCTAATTGGGGGAAGTCATTGATTTATTGGACAGATGCACCTGTGGTCTTCCCTGAGCACATCCTGGCCAAGGATGCTGCCCCCAGGAGATTTGAGAAGTCCTGTAAGGATCATATCAGTATTTTCAAATACTTATAGAAAAGCCAGAGGGATTGACCCAGAATTACCAATATAAGCTTGACCCTGAGATAACAATGCCATTTTATGTTTGCATGCATAAAACCAATGCAAGAGGCTGATGACTCCAGATCCCTTATATAAGCCAATAAAAAGTAGTTTCATTTTTTATTTCATTTAAAAAAGTGTACCATTAACCTAAAGCCTGCTTGTAAAACCAGTTTGTTTCTGAAGCATTAGCTCAAAGCTCACTTGCATTTGGTGAGAAGTCCCTCACGTGTGGCTGCCCTGGCTGGGAGCTCTGAGCTCTGGGAGCCATTGGAACTGCTAATCCCACCAGTGCCGTCTGATTCCCTCTGCTCTAATGGAGGTCTTTTGCCGGGTATCCAGTGGCATTTTCTGGGCTTGGGAGTCAGTAATTCCCAGTGATCAAGTGTCTCTGCTCTGAAAATGCCTTTCTTTGTGATATGAAGCTGTCAGTGATGGAGACTGACCTTTTCATAAGTCAGTGAATTTTCTTTCTCTGAGTCATTTTAGAGAGTGAATCTGAACTCTCCAGTCTGTCCTAAGAAGACATTAATTGGAGCAGGCATGGAACCTTCAGCTTTCCCAGTCACCTGCCGGGTTACTTGGCTTAACCTGGGAATTAACCAGTTAATAAGGTTGTTGAAATGGAAAGAATCCAGGAGGCTGCAGTGTGAGGCTGATTTGCTGTCTTTATTAAGTGAGGAAATGAGAAATGGGAAGAATCCAGGAGGCTGCAGTGTGAGGCTGATTTGCTGTCTTTATTAAGTGAGGAAACGACAGCAAAGCACTTCTAGGCTTCTCACAGCTGAGCACACGAAGACTAAGCCCTCTTCCCGCCGTAGCCAGTGAGGAGAGGATCCCTCTTCCCAAGCCCCCTCAAGCAGTGGCTCCCGCTCACTGGAGGCTGGAGTTTCTAGGGCTTGTCCCTGTCCAGAGCTGCTGCCTCAGGTGTGAGGGTGACTGCCCAGCCCCCGCGCCACAGGCCCTCCTCTCACCCGGACCTCAGGACCAGTTGGTAGGCCCCAGGCTTCCACCTTCAGGGGCATGGGGACGCTGGCCCCTGTGTCCGCCGAGGACGTCCTGGCTCCTTTTGGGGGTCTCTCCTGTCAGGACAGGTTCCGTGGGGTTGGAGGGACTCAGCCTGTTTCTGTGCCATCCGCCTTTAACGGCCCAGAAACGTTAGTGACTGAGAGTAAAATAAGGTCGACTTCACAGTTTCTTTCTCCTCAGCAGTGTCTGGGGGCTGGTCCTCAGCCATGACCGCCGGCCCTGGTCTGTCATCATCCTGATAATTTTCCAGAACTCCACCTGCAGCCGTCATCCTGGGCGGCCCTGCTCCATCTGTACCCTCTGCCCTGCCCTGGTCCTGGACCTGCTCCGCTCTGCATTGCGCTCTGCGGGACCTGAGAGGTTTCTCAGCAGGAGCTGAATAGTGTTGAAAAGGCTTCCAGCCCGCACCTCAGTGGGGCACTTTTCTTCATGGGACATGCGGGGTTGTCTGGGCTGGAGAACACAGATTTGGGGGCACTCCGGAAGGTGGCAGAAGGTTGGCCCTACACGGGACCCAGTGGTCATCTCTGCAAATGCCGGGGCTGGGCTGTTCCTGCCTCAGAGGCCTCCCTCCTCCAGAGCAGGGGTGGAGAAATCAGCCTGGAGAGCCTCACGGCGCAGGAGGGATTTGCCGGGGCTGCCTCTGCATAGAGCCCCCTGCAAACAGAGGAGCTGTTTTATAGCACTGGATTTAGCTTGCAGGGTCCTGGAACACCTAGAGACACCAGAGGGGGAGACCGCAGATGAAGACCTCCTGGACGGCCGGGCAACCAGTGGCAGTCCCACGAGCCACGGGGCCGTGGCCAGCCTCCTTTCGGGACACAGTCCAGCCTGGAGGGAAGGAGGGGACAGGGGACCTTTCTGATTCTTCTTTTTCCTTTTCCTTTGGAATGAGAAAACAGCCTCTACGTTCTCCCATTCACGTCTGTCATCAGCTGAAGGAGCTCTTCCCCTTTTCCCCACTGACTCTGCACCCTCCACGGGGACAGCCTTGCTTTCGGGGCACAATGAAAGAAACATGACTGGAGACATTACCAAGACCTGTCACTTGCTACCTTCTCTTTCTGAAGCCGTAAACATGAGGAAAGACTCATCGTTAGGTTATTATGAATGATGGACCAGCTTATGTGTTTCAATGAAAGCTAGGCTATCACTGAGCTTGCTGGCTTAAAGCTGTGTGAGCCCACTGCTTAATTTTTGGGACACAAAAGGTCTAGAAATGTCGCCTGGCCTTTTCCAGTAGAGGTTGGCCCAAGAGCATGAATTTTCTGGCCAGCATTTCGTTTCTTTTTCCTTCACGTATGTTGCCAGCACTCAGGGCCTGTGGACCTGCCTTCTGTGCAGGGTGTCTTGTCTTTCGGGGCCGTGGCTGCTTCCGTAGGAGGCATGGCAGGTGCCAGCCTGGGGCTGAGCTCTCCCCACGTGGAGCTCAGGGCCTCAGAGGCCAAAGGCACATCCCTCAGAGGGCCTGGAAATGGAAGGCCGGGCTGGGTTTACGGCACACCCAGGCCGGGCTCTAGTGGCTCATGGTCACAGCCTGTCCACACAGCATGGCGCTCCAGAGAATGCTCAGAGGCTTAGGCTCAGACAGACATGAATTCACGTCTGATGGGCGGAGCACCCGTGTGACCATGGCAGGTTGCCTCCTTTTTATCTGCAAAGCTGTGGCAATGATCCCCACCTCCAAGGACTCCAGCGAGGCACATGTGAGACGCTGCATGGGAAGAGCGTCCTGCAAACCCGGCCAGATGGCAGCTGCACCGTCCCTCTGCCAGGTGTCCCTGGAGATGCCTGCCTACCCAGCTCTGTTTCTGTTCACATCTCAGTGTGACAAGCAGCCTGGAAGGGCCATGCTCGAAAGGCTTGGGCCAGGAGCTCTTACCTGGTGAGCACAGACTGCGGCTTCCCAGACACCAACAGGGGAGGGGACAGATGTTGCGCCATGCTACGCCATTGACTTTTCTGCAACTGATACGATGGGAATAATACTCCACTTCAGTTCACAGGGTGGGGGCAATAGTGAGTGAGAGCTGGACAAGCCAGGGAATATTGAGAGACCAAAGACACCTGTTGTGGATTTCCTGGGCCATGAGAGCCGCCTCTTGGACGTGCAGGGTTGACGTAGTCAGCCACTCTTCTGAAACAGCGGCCTGGGGACCAGGCAGCCACGGTGAACCCTGGTACATCACAGAGGGTGCTGACATGGGCTGTACTGTGGGAGCTGCTGTGTAATCATTGCACACTGGGCAGTGGTGTTTGGCATTCCCTGTGATTACGTTCAGCCACCTAGACAGAACCCCAAATCACGGTGGGTGAAACAAGATGGAGCGCATTTTCTTCCATGCACAGGAAGCATGGCAGCTGGCACTTACAGCCAGCGTGAAGCTCCCAGGGGCTCCAGAGCCAGGAGCTCTCTGCTCCTGGGCCTCACATCCCTGCTCATGGCTTCCATGCTCCCTGCCAGCGTGGCTGCTGGAACTCCAGCCTTCTCATCACAATGCGTACAGGGAGGCTTCCAGAAGCTCTGGGTCAGTATTCCGGCGTGCATGTCCTCCACCCTAACGCACTCACCCACATGCGCCGAGCAAAGTTGGAGCGGGTGGAGAAGGGCCTGGCGGTGCAGAGGCCCCAGGATTTCTGGACAGGGCAGCTGTGGCTGCAGCAGGGAGGTGCAGTGCTGCGGGGAGGCGGTTGACAGCTGTCGCCTTTTGCCACTTCTGAGCCCAGCCACCAAATTGGTCCACGTCTCTTAGAAAATTCTGTGACATGGCAGATTCATTGACACTCCTGGTCATAACTGCTTCCCTTCTCCCACTAGACCACCTTCCCTCCCCAGCCCCCTTTTGGTAGCACAAATACAGCTGCTGTGTGTATTGGATCCAGCAGGCGTGGATCCAATTAAACCTACACTATTTGTTTCACTTTTCTTCAGAAAGAGCCTATGAAATATGAGTTTCGGGGGCAAAGTTTTTATCATCAGAGCTGTTCCTTTCCAGCAGACCTTTCAGTTCTCAGCAGCAGCCCTTCTTTCTGGGGTAGGAACTGAGCTGGTCTGTGGGATGCCCCGCCTCGTTCCAAATGGGGTCCATCCCTGAGACAAAGGCACATGATACAAAGCAAAGCCGCACAAACCTGCGGGAATCAGAGTGAGGGAGATGGAGGTGGAACAGCCACGCGGCCCGAGGAAGCAGCTACAGAATGAAGTCTGTTAGTTCCCATTCAGGCACCAGAGTGGGCCACACATTTGCTGGTAGCTTCTATCGACCAGTGCAAAAAGGCGACCGAGGTCTGTGATGTCCCAGAGTGAACATGACAGAGCGCAGGGGACACTCGGGCCTGAGCCCCCTGCCACCAAGGAAGAGGACCTTGAGGAAGGCATGGGTGCCACCTGTCCACTGCACACACAGCCCTTCTAACGAACACGGACCCTCACGGGGCCCGGCGGGGCTCAGACACCGATTCTAACACAGACCCTCACGGGCCCCCGCGGGGCTCAGACACCGATTCCAACACGGACCCTCACGGGCCCCGCGGGGCTCAGACACCGATTCCAACACGGACCCTCACGGGGCCCGGCGGGGCTCAGACACCGATTCTAACACAGACCCTCACGGGGCCCGGCGGGGCTCAGACACCGATTCTCACACGGACCCTCACGGGCCCCGGCGGGGCTCAGACACCGAGGCTGACACACTGCCCTGTGCACACCTGCCTGGAGCCGGTGGCGGGACCCAGGGAGAGACAGCGTGTCCTCCAGCGTCTCCCCAGCTCCTCCGTGGTCAGTGGAGAGTCCATGGGAACGTTTGAGGCTTTGATCCTTGGCAAGAATATTTTTTTTTTGAGATGGAGTCTCACTCTGTCGCCCAGGCTGGAGTGCAGAGTGGTGTGATCTCGGCTCACTGCAAGCTCCGCCTCCCAGGTTCACGCCATTCTCCTGCCTCAGCCTCCCGAGTAGCAGGGACTACAGGCGCCCGCCACCACGCCTGGCTAATTTTTTGTATTTTTAGTACAGACAGGGTTTCACTGTGTTAGCCAGGATGGTCTCAATCTCCTGACCTCGTGATCCACCCTCCTCGGCCTCCCAAAGTGCTGGGATTACAGGCGTGAGCCCCCGCGCCCGGCCGGCAAGAATCCTGCGTGCGGATGTTAAACCAGGGGCCAAATGCAGCCAGGCTTGCACAGTGGGCTTGTCTTCAGCAAGATGGGGGCTGCCTCAGAATCACCAGGAACGTTCGATAAAAATGGAGACTTCCGGAACCTGCCCTAACCTACTGAACAGTATCGTTGCTGGTGGGTGCCCTGCAGTCTGCATTTGGCAAACTGGCATAGCGAGTCCCATGCCGTGTCGAGCCTGAGCCCCACGTTTCATAAGGGATTAGGGTCACTGGAGCTCACGAGGCCGCACCTGTTCCTGGCTGGGTGCGCTTGGGCACTTTGCCCGTCTACGCCTGGAACTTCTCTGGTGTAAACTGGAATAATATCTCCTTTACATGGCACAGAACTAAAGATTCTTTGAGTTCCAGGTAATAAAAACCAAGGCCAGACTAAATCAGACAAAATGACATTTAAAACATAATAAAGACAGGATTGCAGCTGACAGTGGATCTAGAGATCCACAGTTCACTGGGCCCCCACCCTGCCTGTCGCTCAGAAGTCTCCCCTCTGTGTGGCTTCACTCGCAGGCCGCTCCTCTGCACGGAGCAGCAGGGTGGCCGCCATCAGCCTGGTCTCATCTGCCCTCAGGGCTGATGGTCCTGGACAAACAGCTGTCTCTCTGTTCATCAAACTTGAGTTCATAGCCTTCCAGAGGTGGCTGCAAAGCAGGCGGTGTGCTCACCTGGGCCGATCACACCTCTGAGGGACCGAGCGCTCTGAGGACGGTGCCCCAGGTCACACCCGTGAGGGGCACACATCCCCTGGGCTTCAGAGCAACGCAGCTGTGTCCTCTCCACAAGGTGAGTTTGAGGAATCTGTGCACATGGGAAACACAGCCTGCGTTTCTGAGAACAAGGGCTTTTCAGGTTCCCTCCCTCTAGGCCCTCCAGGCCTGGGGGGACAGGTCCTGGTGCCACATTCATAGAACTACACGGCCCTGGCTCCTTCCAGGACCCAGAGGCCTGGACAGGAAGTGCTGGAGCAAAAGCGCTCCCATTCACACCAGATTCCACCAGCTCCTCAGGGGCTTCCGTCCCAGCCGGGGCGGGGGGCGGACACCTGAGAGGAGAGGCAGAGACCTCCCAGGAGGGTGGTGCGTGGCCCCTCCCTACAGCCCATGGGACGACCGCACGGGAAGCCGCTGGAGAGCCGCCACTGAGCAACGTGTTTTCCGTGAAATAAAACTAAAAGGCTCCTGGTCTCTGTTTACCAGGTAGATAAAGAAATCATAGTCATCAAAAGTAGCAAAGTGTTCATTAAACTTGATACAAAGTATATATTTAGGTGTCTGAATGTTTCCTGATGGAAGCATTTTCAAGGGCATTTGCCTCAGCTATGGGAACCAAACATTTACATGAAGGAAGGTTTAGAGGTGAACGTCCACTGCGGAGGTCGGAGAAGCACTCAGGTCAGCGGGCAGAGCGGCTAGTCGGTGGGCCGAGCTCTCTGCTACCCCCGCAGGAGTGTCCCGACGCCATCCCAGAAGCAGCACCTGTGGGCCACGGCGTTTGCTTAGAGCCTGGACTGAGGCTGCCTGGACGGGGCCCCTCACCCGGCCAGAGTTAGGGGTGCCGCTGCCACCCCCATGGACCCGCTTCGGGCTGCTCAGTCCTTGTTCATTTGCATCCATCTTGGTTTTTAGGAAGGCAAGTTTCTCAGGAGCTCAGAAAATTAATTTCGTAGTGATTAGGCTATCCCCAGAGTAACACGTTCCAACTGTCACCAGCACGGACTTCTCATGAAGCCTGGGACCATTTGCAAGGACTCCCGGGTGTGTGTGTGTGTGTGTGTGTGTGTGTGTGTGTGTGTGTGTTTTCCTGTGTCCTCTGAGTAGACACCGCTATGAATGTAGACTTGAGGTTTCTTGGCAAACATGTGTCCTCACTTATGTGGCTGAGGATTCTTCCCCGACTCAGGATGCAAGTGCCAGGGGACCCGAGTCTCCGGGGAAAGCTGGGTGCATGCACGGTTCTTTGATCCGTCATTTGAATAATTAGCTCTTAATTAGCTGTCTGAGTATGATCATCAGCTTGAATGTAAGTTTCTTTAGAGGACACTGTGCTTTCCCATCCTGGTAAGTGGCGATGATGGGTTTCTGGGTATGAGGTTAATTTGAGGAGGAATTCTCACCTCCTAGAGCCTGGCAGACAGCAGTCATGTGGCGCGTTAGCCAATTACCGGGAAAGCTTCCTGTGCCCGGACGGAATCTGCTTCCAGGAGCTGGGGGAGAGGAGGCTGCACATTGCTCCTGGTCACTGCCGGCGCCTTCTGTATCCTCTGACCCACCCTCCTACGGGAGGGAACGTCTCCGCTGGGGAAGACGACCGTGTGGGCTCATCTCCAGCCACTGTGGTGACTATTGTCGTCCCCTTCACTCCGGATGCTCTTTCCCCCATGGCCAGATGCCAGCAGGGTTTGTCCCCAGGACCCTGCAGGAGATCCCCTCTTCATCATCCTGGGAGTGTGACGTGGTCTGCTAAGCAAAGCTCCTTCCCTGCAGCAGGTGAGTCCTAGCTCAGAGGACACGGACGGTGATTTTCCAACTGTCGTGCTCAGAACAAACTTTCACATCCAAGAAATGTTGCAGACATCCTAGAAAGGATGAATCAAACCCACAGGCCCTCAGGCCCCCATGCAACACTGTGCTGCCTTGGCACAGAAATATTTACAGCAGAGTTCCCGTGTGAGCCTGCAGACACAGCAACCATTTTTTATAACAGTTCTCCAAAGTCTCTCCTCTTGAAAACAGAGCAAGTTGCACCCTGGTCTCCGTATCACATCGGCCTGCAGTTTCACACGATCTGCTTGGTTCGGAGTGCTGTCTTTCAGACCTGGCTGTGGCCACATGCTCCTCACAGCTTGCACATCCCTCAGTCTCGGCACCACGCCACACGGGAGGGGTTCCACCACGTCTCTGAGCTTAGGGTGGCCGGTGGTGCCCAGGGGAGGGGGAAGCCCGTGGCAGGCGTGGGATGGATTTGCTGAGTGACTCTAACCACTCCTTATGGAATGAGCACCACCTCGCCAGGGGCCTTGTCCTTGCCATCCTGGGGCCACACGTGTGGCTGCAAGGTCCCTCTGGCAAACCTCCTTTCCCTCTGGGGCTGGTTGAGGACTCCAGGGGGCCAGCCTGGAGACCAAGGCCGTGCTGTGTGGTCAGCAGACCAGTGAGGAGTCAGCAGACCAGTGAGGGGTCAGCGTTCTGCTGTGGCTGCCTGGACTCCTCTTCCTCTCAAGACAGCAGTGTCTGGGGACTGCCAAAACCTCTGCAGGGACCAGCAGCACAGGATCACAGAATTCCACACTTCCTGCTAAATCGGGGTCTCCTTTTCATCCGTCACATCTCCCTTCCCGACTGCACCATCAACATCAGTTCCTCATCTCCACAGCCACCAAGGGCAGCTCAGCTCAAGCTCTAGGACTGGCCACCCCTCTTCCTGGACTGTGATGATGGAGAGAGGCCCCAGTCCCAGGCAGCCACGAGGACGGCGCCTGTCCAGACACACAAAGCAAGGGCCCCGCAGGAGAAGCAAGCCTCCCTCACTCCAGATGCCTCGCCATGAAGCCGTACACCCACCCAGCCGACCTGCACGCGAGAGCTGCTCATTCGTTTTTCGGCTCGGCAGCTGCACGACCTTGTGGGTTCCTGAGCTGCTGGCTGGGAAGCTGAGGTTGGACTCAGACAGGCAGGAGGCACGCAGGCCCCGGAGTGAGGCGCCACCGTGGCTCAGGGCAGAGAATGCTGATCTGAGGAGGGAACATCTAAACTAAGGCTTGGAGGGTGGGTGGTCGGGGGCGAGGGAGGAGTGTGCCCCAGCCTCCTATCTGACCTGAACGTGCCCATTTCCATCTTGGCAGGTGCTGAGGCAGTGATGCTGCCGGGCGGTTCCACGGCCTCTCTCCCCAGGGCTCTGAGTGTCAGGTGGGGGTCCAGGCTGAGGCTCAAGTCAGGTCTGCTCTGTGTGCCCCTCACTCTGCTGAGCTCCAGGCATGTTTTTCCTGAAGCCGATTCCCTGGAACACATTGCAGGGCCTGCGGACATCCACCAGCGTCCACGTGGTCAAAGCCCACCTTAGTGGGGTGGAGAAAAATGTTCCTTCCATGGCCATCAGGAGCAGGGCTGACCATCGCAGGGAGGGCTCACATCTGCCCAGTCTCTGCCAGCGAGTCTCCTCTCAGATCCCACGTGGGCACTCCCTCCCCACCCCTTCGTCTCTAAGATTAAATCCAGGTGCCTTGAGCCCCAGTCCCCATGTTCCCCTCAAACCCCTGTTCCTCCCCACAGAGACACATGGCTCCAGCTCCACACCCGAGCACCTGCTGTTTACGGTTTGTGCTGACCGGATGCTGTTTCTCCTTCCATCTCCACCTGCAAATGTTCTGCTGACCCTCAGGCCGGTTTGAAGACCAGCACAGCCCATGTGAGCAGGGCACAGGGCCCCATCCTGAGTGGCTGGCCTGTCCGGGGGAGGAAGTTCCACCCCACACCCACCCCACCACCACAGGATGTGCCCAGAAGGCGGAGGGACTGGCCACTGTGGGGGCTCCCATGTCCAGGCCGGGCCTCCTCAGCATAAAATCAGCTGACAGCAGCCTCAACGCGCCACTGCCTGAGAGGACACCGCCTCTCCAAACCTGGGAAGAAGGCAGCCACGCCCTGGGGAGGGAACAGGTGGAGGTGGGTGCCAGGACTAGCCAGGACTTCCTCCCAAATATTTAGAAACTTGATTGCAATGAAAAGATAGCATCACTGAATTAAAGACGTCATTTATTATGGAGCTGAGATTTGGTTTGCCCAGCAGCTTAAAACAATGTCACTCACAGCCTTGTGGCACCTTGGGACGGGCAGGTGCCTACACAATTATTTACTTAAGAACATACCTTCCTTTAAAATAACCAATGTTGTACTTAGATAAATGTATTTACATGGGAGACTTTCTGTCACAGATTTGATGTCTCGTGATCATTTCTCTTAGTATACATTAAAAGTTAATTATTGTCAGAAAAAGTTATCTGAAACCTGGAACTAAGTCCCTAAAGTGGGCAGGGCTGGGGGGAAGGTTCCCGAGACCTGGGCTGGTTCCCAAGACCTGGGCTGCGGGGGACTTAGTTCACCTCCCAGTTTGCTGTTCAAAGGTTCCAGACTCAGAGACGTGTCCCATTATCTGGATTTTAGCCGAAGGCAGATGCAGTGATCTCTGTCCAGGGAGACAGATAATCCACAGATTTCAGGCCGGCTGGACATTAACCAGTCCATAACCCAGAGGTCTTATCTCAGCCTTTCTTGTCAAATTGCCTGTAAACACCTCTTCTGTGAAGTGTGCTCAGCAGCCAGTCACAGCGTCTGCCATAACATCGCCCCTCATTTGTTAATGAATTCAATGAAATCTTCGACGTGTGCCCATTTTCCATTTGCTGGAGAATCACGATTTTACCCTTTTGAAAATTATACGTTAGCAACCATAAACTGTTCTCTAAGTACATACAGGCAGCAGCTTAAAATCCTCCTGTGGGCTAAAGGCTGGGCAGTCCTATCAGGGCTGTGATGGGGGGAGGTGGCTGGTTTGTGGAGGAACTTCCCCTCCCTCCCTCCCTCCTTCCTTCTTTCCTTCCCTCTCTTCTTCCCCCTTCCCTCCCTCCTTCCCTCCCTCCCTCCTTCCCTCCCTCCCTCCTTCCCTCCCTTCCTCCTTCCCTCCCTCCCTCCTCCCTTCCTCCTTCCTATTCTCTGTCCCTCCGTCCTTCCCTCCCTCCCTCCTTCCCTCCCTTCCTCCCTCTCTCCCTCTTTCCCTCCTTCCTTATGTGAGACATGTGAGAGTCTCACCCCAGCCTTGGGGGACACAGCAGGACGCAGGCAGTGGGTGTAGTGGCCACTGGGTGGGCTGGAGGGGGCTGCTCAGAGGAAGTCTCTCTGAGTGCTTGGGGAATGAAAGGCCTTTAATGAGTAGAGACCGGAAAGGAGCAAATGCTTGTGTGTTTCTCAAGAAAACAGTGTGAGGGAAGGCACAGAAGCAGCTGGAGGAACAGGAACAGCTGGGGAAAGGGCACGCGTGGCCAGACAAGGAGGTCTAGAAGAGGCAGTGCCCTCACTCTCTGCACAGACCTCGTGCTGGGGATGGATGGAGACCAAGAGTCTGACCTTCTAGTGGGGGGTGTTTGAAAGCCCCTTAGGGCCCTGCCACCTGTGGTTTGGTGTTGACAACACCTGCTCTTCCCTGGGGGATCCGTGGACCTCCCTGCATGGTGCATGTGGCAGGGCCCTGTGGCTCCAGAAAATTCCTGGCCACCGTTGGGGTGCGGGGCAGGGTCAGTGTGCCCGGGTCCATGCCAGGCCACCGCTGCCCCCCAGGCTCACGACAGGACGGCGAGTGCTCCACACAGGTGGGGTGCCCTAGTTCTGTGCAGGTGCACGTCCGAGTGTGGCCTCTGAATCAATTCCCTGAATCAGCCCCACAATGGGGATGTCTGTGTAGACACAGCCCCTCGTTCCCAGCCCTACCAGCAACCTGAAAGGAGCCGTGTTCCTCGAGCCTATAAAATTAACCCCTTCAGCTGGCTGCTTACCCTACAGTGTCTCTGGTGAACCCACAAGGCCCAGCCCTTCCCAACTGGCCAGGACCTGACCCAGGAGCTGGTCTGCGGGAAGGCGTGGGCTTAGAAGGAAGTGGGGTGTGGGGCTCACGGCCCCTTCCTGAGGCTGCAGCTGCCCTGGGGAGGCCCCTGTGCTGAGACATCTTGGAGTGAGGGTGTCCGCTGAGAAGAGGGCTTAGCCGAGGCCCCTGGGTGGAGGTTCCTGGTGTTCACCCACCCTCCCTTCCTCCCGAGACCTGGCCGGCTGGCGTCCCCTTTGGTGCCGGTTGGAGGCTCTGCCTGCAGGCTGGGCTCCTCCCCAGTGGGAGCTGGTGTTCCTGGTATCACAAGAGCGTCTCCTGCTTCCTCTTCTTGCACAGGCAGGACCGTCAGGCCAGCCTCAGAGCCCTTTTCTTCTCCCAGCTCCCCCAGAAGTTGCCCCCTAATCACCCCTTCCAAGGACATTTCCCTTATTTTCCACTCAAGACAGCGCGAGGCCATCCCTCCTGCCCCCGTGTCAGAGCCCCCGAGGCCCCCAAGGCAGACACGAAGCTCATCCCGAGAGGGACCTCGTGAGGGCTGCGGTGGCCCAGCGGGAGGTGCTGCGTCCTGACCACACACATCACAAGCTCCAAGTCAGCACCTGTGTGAGGAACAGGCTCTATTCACGTCTCTCAACGTGGAGAATGAGCTTCTACCGTGCTAGGAGCTTCCTTGCCTGCTGTGCACTTTCGTCTGATCAGCAGCCAGATGCTTTTACAGTGTTCCCACAAGGACAGCGAGCACCAGGACCCCACCTCTCGATTGTATTGTGTCCAGTTCTACTGCGACTCCAGGATAGCCCCTGAGAAAGGAGAACACAAACACACAGAAAGGGAACATCAGCTCTGCCCTCCCTGAGCGCCTTGTCTAAGTCTGAGGGTGGTGCCACCTCTGATGGATGCTGAGGTATGGAGCCTCTGTCATCTATGACCAGACATATGGGGCAGGCAGAGATACACAAAGGCCTGCAATGGGAGCAAACACAGGCTCTGCACAGGAGCCTCCGGTGGCCTCGGGGCCAAACGTCACTGTGTCCAGCGGGTGGGGGAGCTCCAGGCTGCCGGCAGCCGGCCGTCCTACACGTCAGGCTAGAGGAGCACCCGTGGCTTCTCTGGCTGGGCCTGAGGTGGGAGTGATGTGGGGAGGGTGGTGGTAAACAATCAGAGAAACTGGCAGTGTGGACCAAGTCCTGACCTCGGGGCAGCTGCTGCAGAGGCCCTGGCCAGAGTCCCATGGGCATCCTCAGTCCGGCTGGGGTTGGGGTGTCCCTGGAGGGTCCGTGTCCCTGGAGGGTCCGTGTCCCTGGTGGATCCGTCTCCTGGAGGGTCCATGTCCCTGGAGGGTCCATGTCCCTGGTGGATCCGTCTCCTGGAGGGTCCGTGTCCCTGGTGGATCCGTGTCCCTAGTAGATCCGTCTCCTGGAGGGTCCGTGTCCCTGGCGGATCCGTCTCTGACCGCGCGTGCTCTTCACCATGGAAGGAGGTGCTGGTAGCCAAGCCGCCCTCCCCAAGTGGGCGTCCACTTTGAGGAAACGCGTGTGTGAGTCCCCTTGTTGGCTGGGTGTCTCCGTCTAAAGGGACAGCTGGAACTCCCCACAGTACAAGGTCTCACCAGGGCCCCTCAGATCCCACACAGCTGCAGGGATGTCCCTGCTGCCCGAGGTCTGGTGAGAGGCTTGATGGAGGATTCTGCCAACCCCCACCTCAAAACCCTCACAGCAGCTGCATTTTGAGGTTTTGTTCAATTTTATTTGCAGGTCTTCAAAATGAAAAAAATTTATATGTACCAGGCCAGGTGTGGTGGTGGCTCATGCCTGTAATCCCGGCAGTTTTGGAGGTCAAGGTGGGCAGATTGTTGAACCCAGGTCTTTATGGCCAGCCTGGGCAGCGTAGTGAGACCTCACCTGTACAAAAAATTAAAACGTAGCGAGACACGGTGGCAGGATCGCTTGCGCCCGAGAGGTCAAGGCCGCAGTGAGATGTGATCGCACCACTGCACTCCAGCCTGGGTGACAAAGTGAGTCATTTCTCTCTCTCTCTATCTATATATATAATCCAGTGAATCTAAAGCATTTCCACGTTAAAAGTCACAAGGATCATTTCAAAGGAAAAATGGACCTGAGCTACTCTCTGCCTCAGCTCAAGACCCTGCTGGGGAAATCGTTAGGTGGAGCCTTTGCTGGAAACAGCACCATCAGGTCCGCCTGTGCCCCAGCGCCCGGGGAACACAGGCATCCCTCCCCTCCGGAGGGCCTCCCCAGGCGGTAGAGACCAGTGCATTAGGCAGAGGCCTCGGTCCTGCCCGGATCTGCCATCTCCTCGTTGTGTGGGTTCCAACCTTGCTTTAATAGCTCCCACACCATTACCAGGAAATGGATCCACTTACTCTGTGCGGATGAGAATTCCATTAATGTTCGCTCTGACCTTTGCTAATCCCAGCGTCATTCGCAGTGCCTCCATCTCAAAATCTCCTTAATGCCAAAGGCGGTAATGGGTGTCTGCTGTGCCTGCCTAATGAGCTGTAAAATGAACCAGTGGGTGATTTGTTTCTTGCCGTCAAGACCCTGGTTAAGTGACGGCCAGGACGGTGGAAGGAAGGCCGGGGGTCCTGTCCCCCAGACGGCACTCCAGACATCAGGCTCTCGGATCACAATTGATTCAAAGGTAAAAACACGTTCATGCACACACCTGGTTTTCCATTCTCTTAACATTTTTTTCTCCATAATTAGTTTCTCCAGCATCATCTTGGGAGAATGTTGACGTCACTGATCTTGGTTTCTCGGATGGTGATGAATCTGGGCAGGGGGCTGGAGTGGAACCTGCCAGCCCCTCCTCAGCCCGGGCGCCCGACCTCAGCTCCCTCCAGCCCTGGACTCTGTTTTCTTCCAAGACTGGGCCCTGCTTCCCTGCACCACGGTCCGCCTGGATCCTGCACACCCAGCCCGGTGGCTCCTGCCCACTCAGCGGGGCCCTGACGCCCTACATCTCCTCTGTGAGCAAAAGCTCTCTTGTTGTTAGAGAGACTTGCGGAAGCCACACACCCATAGACCGTTACTTCTACACATTCTTTTTATTTCACACAGATCTGCATCCCTTGAAGTACTCACGGGGACGTATTCCGCATGGTTTCCATCTTAGTGCACATAGAACACGGTTTTAACTTACAATCGGCACTGTCTTCTCAAGATCTGTCACTTTGAAAACGTCATTGCCAATAATTGTACATATTGCGTTAATTTCCTAAATCACTATTCACCATCCATCCTTCAAATGCTGAAAACACTCTCTTGATTCCCAATTTAAATACTTTTACAGGCAATACCACAAATGCCTTTAGAAATGGAAGTTTGTCTTCTTCTTGTTATTTTTGTCTCTTGTTTCTTCCATCGAATAATGGCCTTGTCGAGTTGGTGAGAGTGAATCACTTGTGAGTCTTGATTTCCAAAGAGGCTGAGCAGATTTACAAGGCCACAAACACCTACTTCAGATGAGACCTTTGGGGTCTCTCAGGAGGGGCGAGAGACAGAGCCGGTGACTCGCTGGGCGCTGACAGGACCCGCAAGGGTTGGTTCGTCAGTATCCACCACCCCCTTCCTCTCGCTGATGCTGCTCTGAATCTGACACTGTGGATTGGTTCGGCTGCTGTAGGATTTTCTACAAACGGAACATGGACAGGTCCTCTTTGGGTCCGCCCTTTGGTCTCAGCATCATGGCTGAGACAAGTCCTGTCGTAGCTATGTCAGAGTGGCGGGGTCCTCACTTCTCACTCCTGTCCAGATTCTCCTGTGTGTACCCCACAGGCTGTGCACCCGCTCTGCCATCAGTGGGCATCTGGGGCGCATGGCAGACCATGTGCATGTCGGCCATGTGAGCCCATGTCCTGGTGTCCACCCCATGCAGCCTGTCCCGGGGGTGGCCTGAGGCTGCCTTGCCTCCCCTGGGCTGAGGCTGGGACACCTGTGGCCTGTCTTACCCTTTTGCTGGCGTCCTCTGGGGAGTATCCAGAAGTGAGGGGCCCCACGGAGAGGCGCATGCAGCAGGAACCCCAGGCAGTGCCGGCAGCCCCAGGAGAGAATCCCACCAGCCGCCATGCGAGTGAGCTTGGAGACCACGCAGTCGGGAGAGGCCGCCCGGCCACAGAAAAAAGTCGTCCTGTTGTTCAGGATCCAGGCCAGGGTCATCTGCTGAGCAGCAACAGACAAGGAAAACCGCCGTTACGGGCACTGCTGCCATCTCGCAATTTACATAAAGTCTCAGCTCTGTGCGTGGGACAGCAGCGTTTGAAGCTGTCCCCATCAAGGGCCTGTACAACCACCTCCTTCACAGTTAGGGGTTGGCCGTCCTGAGGCTGCCCGACCCCCTCCCGGCTCCCCGACCCCCTCCCGGCTCCCCGACCCCCTCCCGGCTCCCCGACCCCCCTCCCGGCTCCCCTTGTCTGGGAAGCAGCTCTCTCCAGTGTAGCCACTCAACACGGCTGGTTTCATTGCAGCAGCGCACGCCCACCTGTGGCCACCCCGGCCTCCTCCCCGACACCCACACGGAAGGCCGTGTCCCCTCCCCTCCGTGTCCTGGGCGCAAAGGGCGCCCGGAGTGCCTGCGTGTGGACGCACAAGCCCAGGGCCACGGCGCTGCAGGGCAGCCCTTTTCTCACTGCAAGCCTGCACCCTTCTCTCACTGCTTTCCAGGGGGAGCTCTCTCAGGTCCAGAGCCCCACGGCTCACACCTCCTCTCCTGCCTCTGGCTTCCTGTCTTCAGGAGGATATTTCAAGTTCCAAGAAGGTACTCAGTAACTTCTTTGACTAATATTATGTTGAGAAATGATCATTTTACTTTCAGGTGCTTTTTAAAAGCTACATTCACAGAAATTTTAAAAAATCTCAATATGCGGTCATCTGCGTTTTCTGCTGGGGCACGCTTCAGTTCTGTGTTGGACACTGCGGAGAGTAGAGGGCTGGGCACAGCATCTGCACGGAGCCGGGCGCAGCACCTGCACGTGCAGACAGGGGAGGGCCCCTGGAGGGCTCAGCTCCCGCGTGAGGGTCCAGCCTGGACACAAGGTTGAGACGCACATGGGGACAAGTGGGAGGTATTGGGTGGGGCACAGGGGCTAGGAGGCCAAGGGCTTGCTCCTGGAATTCTATACAGGCCTGCAAACCCTGCTCAGTGGAACACCACACCAGACACAGTTCTGGGGCTGGAGGAGCCGCAGCCACCCCGGGACCCCCACCATCCTGGCATCAAGGGCCTCAGACTCTGCTCTCTGTAAGCTCCCTCTGGAGGGAGCAGAGCCAGTGAGATCTGGAGAACAGAGGGTACCTGGGCCCTTCCTGGAGAGTGGGGGACACTTCGTGTTCGTGGGAACGTCCAGCTGCCATGAGGGTCCCTGGGGCAAGCTGGAGGTACGTGCGGAGAAGGGGGCCAGCTCCTCTCAGGCAGCCCACTCCAGCCTATCTGTGACACTGGCTTCACGAGGGGAGTGAGGAGAGGGATGCGGGCCCTTAGCAAACCAGGAAGCCTGAAAAACACCTATTGACAAGAGCGGGTCAGAGGAGCTGGGGAGACGGCCCAGGTCAGCCCAGTTCAGAGGGAGAGGGCCCAGGTCAGCCCAGTTCGGGGGGAGAGGGCCCAGGTCAGCCCAGTGCGGGGGGAGAGGGCCCAGGTCAGCCCAGTGCGGGGGGAGAGGGCCCAGGTCAGCCCAGTGCGGGGGGAGAGGGCCCAGGTCAGCCCAGTCCGGGGGGAGAGGGCCCAGGTCAGCCCAGTGCGGGGGGAGAGGGCCCAGGTCAGCCCAGTGCGGGGGGAGAGGGCCCAGGTCAGCCCAGTGCGGGGGGAGAGGGCCCAGGTCAGCCCAGTGCGGGGGGAGAGGGCCCAGGTCAGCCCAGTCCGGGGGGAGAGGGCCCAGGTCAGCCCAGTCCGGGGGGAGAGGGCCCAGGTCAGCCCAGTCCGGGGAGAGAGGGCCCAGGTCAGCCCAGTCCGGGGGGAGAGGGCCCAGGTCAGCCCAGTGCGGAGGGAGAGGGCCCAGGTCAGCCCAGTGCGGAGGGAGAGGGCCCAGGTCAGCCCAGTCCAGCTGAGGCTCTCGGAGGACAGGACCCGCCCCGCGCTGCCAGTGCCGAAGCTTGGGTTCTCTGAGGACTGCGAGGGGGTCTCAGCACTGTGTCCACAGATGGGGCAGGGACCTCCGCAGGGAACCTTCTCTCGGCTGGGCCAGCCCACCCCAGGGGCTGTAGACGAGGGAGTTAATGAACACGGGATGGGTTGAGCCGCCTGGTTTGCCCACAGAGGGGCGAGGAAGGGAGTGGGGAGTCTGCTGTGAGCGGAGAGAGGACAGCCTGAGGCCTCAGGAACGCTGGCTGCCTGCCTGCAGCGGGAGCTAACGGGGCGTCTGTCGGGAAGGGGCACGGCCACAGGATTTAGGGGCAGTTTGGACACACTGGTCCGGTGAGCTTGATTTCAGATTCCGGGATCTGGTTTCGGAGTGGAGTTGTGGACTCTCCAGGACCCATCGCTGAGGAGCAGGAGGTTCTCCAGGGGCCATGGGGCCCGGGGCTCTGAGGGAGGCTCTGCACTCCCAGCATGAGGTCACCACAGGGCTAGGCCAGGGCCCAGACACAGCAAGCCACCAAGAGGAGGCCGGCCGGCGTGGAAGCCTCGCAGAGGGTGAATTCCAAAGAGGGCCCCTCCTGCTCTGAGACCCACACTCCCGAGCCACACTCAGCAGGTGACGTGCAACAAGACCCTTAGGGTTAGGGTTAGGGTTAGGGTTAGGGACCCCAGGCTCCATGCATGCCAGGGAGAGGCAGCGGTGTGCGAGGGCCTCCTGGTGCCTGGCAGACCAGGAGTGAATTTTGGCTGTCACCTTCTCTGAGTTACTCCAGTGTAGAGAGGCAAGGCCTGGGTCCAGGGTTGTCTCAGTCTCAGTGCAGCCCCTCAGAATGGGGGGCCCATGCCTAGCACCCTGGGTGGGGAGGAGCAGGCAGCTAGCTGGAGCTTCTGGCCCTTTTAAAAGAGGCCCCATTCCCTGGGCCTCGAGGGAGTGGCTGTGCACATTCAGACATGCACTGACCCATGTACACACACACATACACGCACACGTGTATGCACACTCACACGTATATTTGTACATACACATGTGCATACATCCACATGTACAGGTACACACAGGTATGCACGAAGGAGGTTCCCAAACCCTTTCTGCACCCCTTAGCTGCCTTCCAAAGGGACACGTCCTGATTTCCCTGTGGTGGGACACTGAGCATGCCCAGCTTCTGCGGGGCCAGGTGACGCACACGAACTCAGGGTCTGCTGAGGCAGGTGCATTGGCGACGGTGGACAGCAGAGAAGTGGGATGCCTAGCGGCAGGGGCTCTGCCCTCACAGCTCCTCTGCCAGGCAGGGACCAGGTCCCGCTGTCAACCAAGGGAAGCCAGGCCCTGGCCACCCGGCCCTGCATTTCAGAGGGGGCAGCACCCAGTGTTCTGGGGTCTCAGTTACTGAATGAGCCTGGGCACCTGCCTGCCCTCTCTGGCCTCAGTTTACCCCCTGTACTGCTGGGCGAGGGATCAGGGCATAGCGAAGGACCATTTCAGCTCCGCTGGTGCCACACTGCTGAAGTCCTGGCCGCTTTTTCCTGCATCCTGGGGTTTTCTGACAAAAGGGGAGCATGTTAGTGCTTGAAATGGCCTCACCTCTTGCTATTTTTGCAGGAAGCCTGAACGCAGTTGTTAAAAATAGAAATAATGAAGGAAAGCAGCAGCTTCTGCCCTTGAGTCCTGAGGCCAGGACAGGACTCCCAGGATCCTCTCCAGGCTTGTGATGATAAATGATCATTGGGCTGCATTTGTCCTTAGCTAATTTATCCTTGGCCTAGAGAGAAAGTTTCTGCCTTTTTTTTTTTTTAAGAGGAAAGCTGGAAAGGTGCTTGAGGCCTAATAACTTTGCTTGGTCTTTTTTGGGCACTGGGCCCTGCATTTTCCACCTGGCAATGCTGTGTGGGGCTTCTTCCAGGCACTCTGTGGGCCTCATGCCGCCTGTGCTGGCCGGAGCCAGCGTGGCGATCAGACGTCTGGGTGTGCCCGGCACGACCCCACCTCGCCGCTCCCCTGAGCTGTCCTTCCCCTGCAGAGGGGCCAAGAAGCACCCCTGGGAGGCCATTAGTGTCAGCAAGAAAGGTACGGCAGGGCGGGGCCAGGACAGGGTGAACAGGACCCCAGCGCTTGGTGGCCACGAGTCCCAGCTCTGGGAGGAACAGGCCTTGAGGATGCAGAGAGGTTTGCATTGGCAAAAGTCTCGGCATCTCTCATTTTTCCCGTACATGCACCACCACCGCTGCTTCCTGCTGTAGCCCCTCTCCGCCAAGAGGCATTCCCAGCCCCCAGGACCATAGAGAGGGGCAGGGGTCTTCAGCGTGGCTGAGGGCCACCGCCTGCGGCACGTGGGAGGAAGCTGCCAACTACCCCCATCCCCTGAGCTGAAGTCTCCTTGCATCTGGGCCTTGATTTTTTAATGCGAGATGCAGCTCAAGGCTTGCGGTCATACTTCTGTCTTCAGGTGCGAAAACTGCGTTTTCTTCTTGAGTTCCGTGTTTCAGGGAGAGAATCGTGAAGAAACAGACTAAAGGACTTTGTTGCAAGCTACAGTCATGAAGAAGGACACGTGGGTGAGGCTGGGAGCCCGGGGAGCCTGGTGTCAGCCCCAGTCCGAACAGCGGAGCCAGCAGGAAGACCCTGCCTCTGTGAGTGTGTGGGGTGCTTTGGAGATGGGGGTGTGTTTAGATTTTGTCTCTTCCATGTTATTCCCATGGCAGGCTCTGCACCAGTCCCCGGCGCTGCCTGCGGCATCTGATTCTGCCGGCGCTGCCCGCTTAGCTTATGGGTATGCAGAAGATCTGCATCATGGTTCCTGCTGAAGAAGGGAGTGTGTGGCTGTGTGTGTGTGGCTGTGTGTGTGTGCGTGTGCACAGGCATGCACACACCTGTGTTTACATGAACACATATGAATACAGTGTATGTGTACACACACAAACACGTGTGTGCATGTGAGGTACATGCATGTGCACATTTGCTTACATGTACGTGTGTGTGTGCACGTGCATACACATGTGCGATTGGCAAGTGTGTGCATGCATATGTATATGGGCACATATATGTACAGGCATGTATGCACGTTTGTGTGTTTGGTGTGTCTATATATGTACGTGTATATGGCCACACACGGATACAGGTATGTATACACCTGTGCATGCACGCTTGCCCAGACACACAACTGCACACCTCCCTGCCCTGCACCCTGCCTTTGGGCTCTCCATCGTTGCTGCTGGCTGATAGGTCTTGAAAGGCCCAGGCTGGTGAGTAAGTCCTGCCCCTCAGGTGGGCAAGACTGGGAACAGCCTATCTGGCCTTCTTCAGGTTTCCTCTCTCAGCCTGGAGGAGGGCAATAATGATGCAATTTCTTACAATAATGATACCTTACATTGCATAATCGTTCGGGTCACTCAAAATATTGAAAACAGTAGCACAGAAAGGTTAAAGGGTTCCACAGCAACTCAGCAGCACAGCCAGCACCACGAAGTCGGCCACCGCCCCACACTTTAGTCAGTTGGGTGACCTGGCCGGCCCTGGGAGGACGCCTCATTCAGCTGAAGCTCATCCACATCCACGTCAGGGGGCTCCTTGGTGTCCCGGAGATGCTGCCAGCTCCCAGCCCCAGGACGGGTGTGAGGCTGTGGCCCACGGGGTAGGTCCCACCAGGGTCTGAAACAGTTCCCTGAGGTGCAGGGAGGTGGGAGGCAGTGAATCCTGCTTTGAAAACTGACTTCAGCTGTTCAGGGTGGGTGGGGCGTGGGCTCAGGGGTGCAGCTGACGCGTAGGTTGGCTCCAGCTATCACCCCAGATCTGGTCCATCCGCAACAGCAGCCTTGCGTGTGGGCTGAGCAGTTGGTTGGCCACATCCAAGCTCTGTTGGGAAAAGAAATCCACTGGTGCCTGTGGTAGGAAACCAGTGCCTCATCCTTGGGCCGGATCAGGTGATCTGAGGGGTGGGAACTGCTGCCCCCGGCTTGGCTGTTCTCCATAAGCCGGACAGGCCGACCCATATGCGCGTGTGTGTGAGCTCGTGGTGAGCAGAGCCCTCCCCCTTCAGCGGAGGTCTGTGACCACCTCCCCGAGCTCCTTCCCTCCCCAGGGCACCGCCGAGGCCTGGCTGACATCACGGGGTGTCCTGCCCAAGGCCCTGTGGTTACTGGACACACTCAACCTGCTGCCTCTGGCCTTTTCCTCACTTTCTAAACCTTCTCTCCACTTCCCAGGGAACTCCTCCTGCACAAGGCGTCTTGGCTCCTGCCCTGCTACACCGACCACGTCCCTCCCTCAGCCGGTCCCCGATACTGAGCACCTTAGAGGCAGCCACTCTTCGCAGGCCTGGTTACCTGTCTTGCACCATGTGCATCTCCTCCTGTGCATGGAGGAGGAAACCAAGGCTTCCAGCCCCAGAGCTCGCAAAGGCAGAGACCCCAGGCTCCCTGTGTGCTCCTGTGCATGGAGGAGGAAACCAAGGCTTCCAGCCCCGGAGCTCGCAAAGGCAGAGACCCCAGGCTCCCTGTGTGCTCCTGTGCATGGAGGAGGAAACCAAGGCTTCCAGCCCCGGAGCTCGCAAAGGCAGAGACCCCAGGCTCCCTGTGTGCTCCTGTGCATGGAGGAGGAAACCAAGGCTTCCAGCCCCGGAGCTCACAAACGCAGAGACCCCAGGCTCCCTCTGTGCTCCTGTGCATGGAGGAGGAAACCAAGGCTTCCAGCCCCGGAGCTCGCAAACGCAGAGACCCCAGGCTCCCTGTGTGCTCCTGTGCATGGAGGAGGAAACCAAGGCTTCCAGCCCCGGAGCTCGCAAAGGCAGAGACCCCAGGCTCCCTGTGTGCTCCTGTGCATGGAGGAGGAAACCAAGGCTTCCAGCCCCAGAGCTCGCAAAGGCAGAGACCCCAGGCTCCCTGTGTGCTCCTGTGCATGGAGGAGGAAACCAAGGCTTCCAGCCCCAGAGCTCGCAAAGGCAGAGACCCCAGGCTCCCCGTGGGCCAGGACCACTGGCCTTTCCCTCCGCTGCTTGGGGCGTCCTGCAGTACCGGGCTCAGGGATGGAACCCTCACGCGGAGCCAGGACGAGCAGGCCACACAGAGGGAATGCCGACCACGTCCCTGAAGCCACAGTGGTGAGGAGGGGACTGTGCACTTCAGTGTGAGGTCGGGAAGGCAGCGTCCTGCTCGGATTGTAGAAACGGGCAGAAACCCCGACGTGGTCTCTCCTCGGTTTAACCGAGAAGATGCTGAGGCCTGGTATCCACTGTCCTCCCTCCCGAAGGCCAGACTCAAAAGGAGGAAGTACAGGAGGATGGTGCAGCTGGGCTTGTCCCCTCACGGCCCCAGATGCGGCCTCCGCCACGGTGTGGTCTCTGCATGCAGGCCCCTCCATGCTGCAAGAGGTGGCGGGCTCTGGGGCCGCATCGCACCCCCGATTCGTGTCCTCCAGCCTGTTTCCTCGCCTTAGGTGGGACGCGATCACCCGCCTGCGGGGAGTCTTGCTGCCGTGCGACAGTGAGTAGAGGCCGGGCACAGGCCCACAGCAGGCGCTCAGCAAACGCTCACTCCCAGGTCCCCGTGTGCCCGTCTAAGAACCGCGAGGCTTCAGGCCTCCAGGAGGTGTCTTGCGGGGGCAGCCGCTCTGACGTCGCCTCTGCCCACTGTGTCTGGATCCCTCGTGAGGGGCCCCCAGACCAGAGGCAGCCGAAAGGTAGAGTCCAGATGCGGAGGGAAAGACGTGATCTCCGAATTCCGTGATGACAGGTGGGCAGCGGCAGCTGGAATTACACACCAGTCCCACAGCTGTGGTTTTAAGCACTAATATTTTACAGGTAAGAAGCTCCATCTCCCACGGCAGATTGCAACCGTCAGGGTTGTTAGATTCGTGCGGACCGGACGATGCGTCTAAAGGAAAACGGACCCAGGCAGGAACAGCAGCGGCCGCCCGAGTGTTGGCAGAAGCAGGCCTGTTGCTGAATTGTGACGTTTGTAGAAATCGCTGTTTTAGCCGCTGTTGGCTCCTCTCAAGCTCCTGACAGTGATCCCAAGATCTGCTGGGAAGCACCTTCCCCGGCGACTCCTCGGGGACACCGGCTCCAGCTGCAGCCTCAAGTGACCCCTTTGCCGGAGTCCAAGAAAAGAGAAGCTGCTTCCGTGGACTCTTCTGTCCCAGATGAAGCCGCAGCGGCAGGAAGTGGTAGCTGGCTGCTCTCAGGGTTTATTTGGTTGGGACAAGAGGTCCCAAAGCTGTCCTTGGGAAGGAGCTTAGGCGGGGCTGAGCTGATGTGTGCCTCGAGGAGCGGAGGGAGAGACAGGGCAGGAGACAGGGAGAACACGGTCCAGAGGCAGCGGGGAACAGTGGGAGGGAGAGCCGGGCCCTCTGCAACGCCGGCTGTGGGCTGGGACAACAGGGGAGGGTGAGGCAGTCCCAGCTCTCAAGGCCTCTGGCCCAGGATGAGGTGTGAGATGGCCAAGCTGCCGTGGGGCCGCCCGGGAGGAGGAGAAGCAAACCCATCAAGGAGGGCTCACAGGCGTGGTGATATCTGACGAGGCTCCTGAAGGGTGGGTAAGAGTTTTCCAGGAAGGGTGGTTGGAGGGAGCACTAGGCGAGTGGCCGGCACGAACCAAGGCCTCGGGTCCCCAGAGCCCTGTATGGGTCGCAGTTGGGTCTTCCCAGGTTAGGGTTGAGGTTCGGGTTATGTCTCTTCCACAGCCCTTGAGAGCAATAGGATTTCAGCAAATGTAGCTTGTGTGGTTTCTGATGGTCAGAAATAATCCACATTTTAGGATTTCTGTAATCCTGTACTTTAAAACTGGCATCACAGACCATTGCCCCTGCAGACAGCAGCCTGGGCCTCCAAATGGAGGGGCCTGCGGGGGGATGAGCTGTCCGGAGGGTCCACACTGGAGGAGGGGGCAGGCCACGGCCCGGCTGGAGAGCCTCTGTGCCTAGTGGGCCCCGGAGCCCCAGGTCCCTGGTGCAGGGGGTGGAGGTCAGGCAGGCCCTGGGCAGCTGATTGCTGCCTGAAGCCCACCCTGAGGAGGGAGGGAGGCAGGGGAGGAGACAGAACAGATCCCTTGGGGGAAGCAAACCCACATTCCCAGACCCAGGAGCGCCCACGTCAGGGGGACCCCAGGGAGGGCCAGCCCTGCGTGTACACCCCTCCTGCCAGGACCCTGCTTCGGAGGTCACACCAGCTCCTTGTGGAATGGTCTGTTGGAGCGGACCTGACCTGGAGAATCCACGCCTCTCACACATGGAGCTGGGCAACAGCTGGCACCCGCCCCCTCGGCCTCAGCCTCCCTGGGGGCTCCCCCGCCACAAGAGGGGCCGTCCCGGGTGCTTTGAGTGGAGTGAGCTAGAGAGTCGGATATTAGGGCCACCTAGGAGAGCCGGCCTTGTCCATCGCCTGGCCGGGGCTGGACTGACGTGAGCTGTCTCCAAGTCCAGGAGGAAACTCACAAACTCTGAGCTACACAGCAGGTATGAGTCCTGCTGCAACACAGTGCGCTTTAAAAAGTGTGAATAAATTGAAACTTCATGAAATAGCCTATATTTACAATATCCAGACAAAATTACCTCTTTTTGTCTTTTATTTATTTAGTTACTGAGAGAGGGTCTCGCTCTGTCACCCAGGCTGGGTGCAGTCACGGCTGACTACAGCCTCGAACTCTCAGACCCAGAGGTCCTCGTGCCTCAGCCTCCTGAGTAGCTGGGACCACAGGTGGGAACCACCAGGCCCAGCTAGAATGCTTTAAAAAGAGTCATCTAAGGCAGAGGTAGAAGTTACAGCTCTAGGGCCCAAGTCAGCCTCTGTTTTTGTCCAACAGAGGGCTAAAAATGATGTTTATATCTTTAAATAGTTGGAAAATCAAGAGACTATTTTGTGACATGTGAAACTTATAGGAAATTCAAATTTTAGCATCCATAAACAAGGAGATGTGGGGACACAGCCACACACACTCATCACGTGGGTCGAAGGCTGCTCTGGGCCACAGCGGCAGAGGTGAGCGTTTGCACCAGAGGCAGAGTGACCTCGAGGCCTGAAGCACACCGTCCAGCCCTTCACAGAGCGGCGTGCCAGCCCAGCTCTCGGGCTCCCTGGCAAGGCTGGAGCCGCAAGGGGCTCGAGTTTCCCCTGCCCGCAGCCCCCATAACTGGAAGCTGGCTCGCCCAGTGCCCTGATCCCACCCGCCGGCCCCTTCCTGTCCACACATCCCCGCTTTTCCCTGGAAGCCTTTGGTGACAAGTGCAGACACTCTGCCCCTCATCGTCTGGGGTCCTTGGCCGCCTCTCACCTGTCCCCCAGGTGGCAGGTGAGGCCCTCGGGTCCACTCTGAAGGTGATGGGCTGATGCTCCAGGCCGGACATCAGGCTCCGTGACAGCTGGTTCTACACCGTCTTCTCCGGCTGTCCCTGGGGTCACGCCCCTCTCCTGCTGCAGAAACTTGGGTTTCCTCCGTGAGGCTTAAATGAGAGCAGCCTCAGGACAGATGTCCAGGAAAGGCCAAGAGAACTCAAGCTTGACTGTTCCTCAAGCCTGCTCTTGACAGACAGAAGTGGGTTGGGTGAATCTGAGGAAGAGGGGAGAGGGCCTCGCCCCATGGGGCAGGCTTGTTACCGTCAGGACGGGGCTGCTTTGGGTGCTGAGTCCTGGAAGCCGCTCGGACCCATCCATGACTTCTTATGTGTGCTGTCGGCAGCTGACCAGCGGCCACGCTATCCTGGACGCGTGGGGATGGAGCTACGGGGAGGGTGCGGTGGTGACTGCTCCACTGCAGAGCCAGGTATCGCCAGGGGCGCCAGGTGAGACCCAGCAGAGACACAGGTGGAAAGGAGTGAGTCCTCCAGGGTCCCCTGAACAGTCAAGTTCCACCCATTCAGTAGCTTCAAAAACAGGCTCACGATTTGGTGTGGGCCCTGGTCTCCAGCTGGGTTCCCTCACCTTACGGCTCCCCATGGTCACCGGCAACCCAGCATCCCACACTCTGGATGGGGGTCAGGAGTGGAGGCGACAGGAGGCGAGGAGGCGAGTGGGCGGCACAGACAAGGAGGGAGCCCACCCCTGCTCTAGACAGAGTTTAGGAGTGGAGGGGACCGAACAAAAGGAATCGTCTTCATTTCACCTTCTGGTAAGAACAGGCTTTAGCCAAGGAAAGGAGGGGTGGACGTGCAAAGCCCTCCCGTGCGGGAGCCCTGGGACAGAGGAACCATCCCACAGCCCCCCGGGAGCCGCCGATCCCCCCGACACAGCCCCCCGGGAGCCGCCGATCCCCCCGAGACTGGCCTGCACCTGCACATCTGGGGGGCGGGGCCCCGAATTGTCCTGCCACAGTGGCCCCGCCGGCAGGGAGATCAGAGGAAGAAATAAAATCCTCAGGCCTCACCTGGGATCCAGATTCGAGGCCGGAAGAGCAGACTTTGCCGGGGGCACTCACGCAGATCCCCACGTCTCAGGGCACCGCAGTCCTATTACCATAAGCGATCATGCAAAGGTGTGGTAAAAGCCATCTGTCATTCATAAAATGTGATGATGCCTTTCTGCAAAGACATAAGCCATCCCGGGGCTCAGCCAAGAAATGGCCATAAAATCCGGCATAATGACCTCAAAGCACACTTTCCAATATAAAGAACTTTCTAGGCAGCTGTTTCCAGAATTTATCTGTGTGCAATAATTTTACACCTAAAACTATCACTGTGTTCTGTGTCTGGTGGCCTCTTTAGCAGTTCCTCCCCTGTAACAGCAAGAAAGTGCCTTCAACATGCTGATGGGCCCCGGGTCAACATGCTGATGGGCTCCGGGTGACCAGTGACAGCATCAGGTTCGCTTGACAATGGCTTTGCCGTCGGACACAGGCGCAGGTGCCTGGGGAGGTGCCGTCTGTCTTTGTGATCCCCCAGGTTGCCAGGAAGGAGGAGCTCATGCCTCTGTTGAGAAGAGCAGGTTTTGTCTTGGTTGGACTCAGAGACCCTGAGAGCAGGATTTTCCCTCCCAAGCGCTCCCCAGGGGGAGACCCCTCGGGCCAGGACTCCCAGGGCCCACACAGAGCCTGGTGTTCGGAGGACAGAGCCTGTGGGGACCAAGGGCAGGCACAGCTGGGCTCGCACCGACAGCTGGGGAGGGAGGGGGAGCTGGAGCCTGAACTGACCCCTTTGGTGGTGGGGTTGGTGGGGTACAGGGAGTCAATGGCCCAGCCCCAGCGACAGCACAGCAGCTTCCCCAGGAGGAAGGGGAGGCTGAATAGGAGAGAGAACCCCACCTCCTCCACACCTGAGGCCGTAGCCCGAGGCTTTCACTCCAGACCCAGGCATGTACGGGCTCTGATAAGAGGTTCCCTGTAATTTATCCTCACTTGAATCTCAAATTTGCTTCTAAATATCCAATCTTTTTTGTCTAATGTATGCGTTTTCATCCCTAATCACCAAACCTGTAGATTACACTCATGCATGAAATATTTGGTGAATACCTTTTAATTTTACAAAATGTCTCCTTCTGAAATTACTCCTCCGCACCCAGGAAAAAACAGAATGATGTCACTGCCAACTTCGAGGTAAAAGTATTTCGCAAATCTTAACAATTTTAGCTTCTACATGCACGTTAGGAAGTGTTGATGGACACAGGATCATACTCTACCTATTGGAGGAAGGAGACGATTTAATTGATCATGTCTTCAATTCCTGTCCCCACCCTCCCCGGGCCCCTCTGTCCTGGGGGGCCGTGGCCTCGCGATGATCTAGGCTGTGACAGAGGAGCACCCAAATCCTCTTCAGATTCCTTTCAACTCGGCTGTGACGTCTGCGTCTTCATAAGAAAGGACGTGTTTCCGAGCGGCCACTGAGAACTACAGGCAGGCCGACCGGCAAACCACCCACAGCCAGCACCGGGAGCTGCAGAAGCCACGGGGCCCTCACAGGGGTTCTCTGTCTCCTCCATGGAGGTGCTCCCTGTCTATCTGCTGGGCCCGCTCACAGGGCCCCTCCACGGATGGTGCCCGGCCTCCCTCACGTCCTCGAGGCGTCCCTCGGTCAGGTACTTAGAATCTGCGTCTCCCACCTGCTTTTCCCAAGGCTGCAGCTTCCCCTGGACAAGAGCGGAGCCTGGGCTCCCAGTGCCAGGTTACTAGCCCAGGACCTGGCCCCTGGCAGATGCTGGGCATAGGCTTATGAGAGGACTGAAGTGGCTGTGTCTCCACGCAGCCGACAGCTTCACGAGAGAGAAGGGGAGGTCAAGGCCAAGATCCAGTGACAAGAGGACCAGAGCCCCATGACTAGCAGGCCACAGATGGCAGCTAGTTTAGTCCTCACAACAAGGTGAGAGCCAGCAGCTCCCTCCCACAGCAGGAAACTGAGCTCTGAGAGATTCCCTGACATGCCCAGTGCCGTCTGGCTGGTGAGGGACAAGCCGGACCTAGCCCCCATGTGCTGGCTCCAAGCCCACCCTCAGCCCAGCCCCTCCCACAGCGCTGGCCTTTCCTTCCCACACCCCAACTGCTGCCTCCAGCACGGGGACCCCCAGGGAAGGGCAGGACCCTGGGAAGCAGATGTGGGCTTCTTGTTCCTAAGTGTCCAGAATTCCAAGATGGCTTAAACCCAGCATAGGGCTGAATGGGTGAGGCTGGCGAAGAGGTCAAGTTTCTCTGTAAAAATAGTGACCACAATAATAGCAACGTGTGCTTTGTAGCAAAGACTCACTGAGACTCTGCGTGCAAAGTGCTAAGGCCGGCCCAGCTTGCGGCCACGCCAAGTGCCGTCTGCTGTGGGGCCAGCTCCTCCCTCCTCCTCCAGTTCCTCGGGCTGTCTGGTCTGGGGATGTGGCTTTGGGGCTCGGTGGCCTGCAGCCCATCCCCTTGCCTTCAAGGGCCCCTTAGGGCACAGAGCACCCCGTCAGGTAGCATCCCCAGGACGCGGGGCCGGCTGAATCCCTGGGTGCTGTGCCCTCTGCTCTGCCTTCTCCGGGGCCCCCGGCAGGATTGGCCTCCCCGACTCCGGCAGGAACTTGGTGCGGCTGTCCCAGCCCTGGGCATCTTCTCCCTCAGGCTGCGGCCTCACAGGGCCCACGAGGGTCAGAAAGCAGAGGTCTGGCTGTTTTGATTTTTGGGTTTTTATTGAGACAGGGTCCAGCTGTTGCTCGGGCCGGGCTGCGGTGGTGTGATCACCGCTCACTGCAGCCTCGGTTTCCTGGGCTCAGGAGATCCTCCCACCTCAGCCCCCTGAGAAGCTGGGACTACAGGCACGCACCACCACGCCCGGCTCATGTTTTTATTTTTTGTAGAGATGGGGTCTCCCTCTGTTTCCTCAGCTGCTCTCGAACTCCTAGCTCAATCAGTCCACCCACCTAGGCCTCTGAAAGTGCTGGGATGACAGGTGTGAGCCCCTGTGAGCCCAGCCCCTGGACTTTTTTTGGACTCTTTCATATAACTAATATGTAGGCCTGGAAGTCTGGTCATTGCTTTAAGTAGTTTCTTGGTAGAGAACTAAGAATTCTATGTTTGAGAGGCCGTAGGGGCCACATCTGACCCACTTCCTTCTAACTAATTTTTGTTTTTTTTGAGACAGAGTTTCTCTCTTGTTGCCCAGGCTGGAGTGCAGTGGCGTGATCTTGGCTCACTGCAACCTCCACCTACCAGGTTCAAGCGATTCTCCCACCTCTGCCTCCCGAGTAGCTGGGATTACAGGCATGCGCCACCATACCCGGCTAATTTTTGTATTTTTAGTAGAGACGGGATTTCTCCATGTTGGTCAGGCTGGTCTCGAACTCCTGACCTCTGGTGATCCACCCGCCTCGGCCTCCCAAAGCGCTGGGATTACAGGCGTGAGCCACCGCACCGGGCCCAGGTAGAACTATTTTTAAAGC
This sequence comes from Homo sapiens, assembly GCF_000001405.40. Taxonomy (NCBI): domain Eukaryota; kingdom Metazoa; phylum Chordata; class Mammalia; order Primates; family Hominidae; genus Homo; species Homo sapiens. The sequence goes on from NC_000007.14 coordinate 186,035, forward strand.
CAGCTTTTGTTCATTATACCACACTGTGTCTACGAACAATCTGTAGACTGTGTGCTCGTGTGCCTGTGCACCGGTGTGTGTGTGTGGATGCCGTGAACAGACTCTAGATTATCTGCCTTTTGGAATTTCCCGACATTGTGTGACCATCAGAACATGATCAGTGTTGCGAATGCTCCATGTGTAACGGACTGTGAGTCCTGTGTTTGACGGATACAAAATAAAGTCAAGCTTTTACATTGTTTTATTCTTGTGTTTTCGGCTTCTTGATCGGTTGCTTTTAATGAAAACGAATGAGTTCTATTTTCAAAGACCCTCAGACGGTGGGTGGGGAACGGATAGCCCAGGAGTCCAGCGTTGGGGCGGACTGGCCGGCGGGCCAGCGACAGCAGCCGGAGGGACGAGCACGACCCTCCCCAGCCACCCCGCGTCCCCCGAACCCAGCCCAGCAGATGCAGAGCTCACATTTTCTCCTGCTAGCGGCTCTCCCGGCTCCCCTGTGAGCCCCGATAGCCAGGCCCATTGCCCGTCAGCACCCACAGCCAAGCGGGAGGCCTGGGGAGGAAGGAATATTGTCCCGTTCTGGCTTTGCCGGCCAGGATTAGAATTGCACGCGGCGCAGCATCTGGCGCCCGCTGGACGCTCAGTAAGGACAAGACGGCTCTCCTCCTCCTGCCACCCAGAGCCCCAGCCTCCTCCCAGCACCCCCAGGCTCCCAGAATAGGCTACGGCCAGAGCTGGCCTGTGGTAAACAGCTCGGAGCCTCCGGGCAGGTCTTGGATGAGTAACCCTCAGCAAAACATCGTGGGATCCAGAAAGGTGCAGGTGCCAGGCCTGAGCTGGGTGGGCCCCTCCAGCACCCCCACCTGGACCCTCCGCTGGGCCACTCCAGGCCAACGCATGGGTGGAGGTGCAGGGGGAAAGCCAGCTCTTGGGCTGCGGTGCCCGCCTCTGCCCCACCTCAGGAGGCTGGGACGTCCCCGATCTGTGTGGGAAAGAAAACCCGTCATCCTGTTGCTGATGGGGCCTCAGCGAGTCGTGGGGGGCCCCTGGGAGGAGGTGGGAGGCACATAAAGCTCCATCTGCTCGTGGACTGCACACTCCCTGGCCACAGCTCCCAGGAGGGCTTTCTCCTCCACACCATCACGCACCCCAAACTTTATGGCCCAGCATCCCTTTCCCACCCTTGTCCATACATCGCGGTGCCCCCTTCACAGAGAAGCGTTGCATGAGTTCCTTCAGTTCTGTTCCAATATCCCCTGCGCAGCCATGCAGACAGGCTTCCTTCTTTCCCCTTCTTGCGCGAGCGACACGGCTCTACACGTCCTCTTATACCTCGCTACTTACGCACGGCGGCCTCTTTCTCCTGGGAAGATCAGTGGCGGCTCCAGCCAGGCCAGCTGGCAGCTCAGGGCTCAGGCGCTGGCTCATCTGAGGAGCCCTGGGCTCCAACCAGCTGCTGGGCAACGCTGGGACGACAACCTCTCCTGTCCTAAAGGGCAGGAGGTACTGCGGCTTCTTCCCCTGCCACAGTCCCAGGGACCTGACGGGGACACTCAGAGACTCTGTCTCTGCCTCCTGTGCGGGGTCATGCTCTGCCTGGAAAGCGCCTCCTTCCTTCCTGGCCCATTGGGAAATCGCAGTGTCCTCTGGCCGGTCCCAGCACCCCCGGGTGGGACCCCAGCGACCCTGCACCCCCCCACTGCAGCCGTCTCCCTCCTCCTGGCAGGGCAGCTGCCAAGCCTTGCCCAGTCCAGGTCTCCCCAGGCAGGATCCCTTGGGGGAAACCTGAGGAGGCAGCTGTTCCCCCACTCCCAGAGTGTCCTCAGAGAACCCCTTCCAGACCCCAAGCTCCAGAGCTCGGCCTCAGGTTCCCTTGCTCGGGTCTGGGAACTGGAAGTCGGTCCCGCTCCCCTCCCTGGCCTCTGCCCCATTTTTCTGTCCGCTTCCACGTAGAGCAGACCAGAATATGCCACCCCAAAATATGCCTCTTTGGCATAAGCATTATTTTGAGCTGCTTATTTTGAGAAACTGCAACCACAGGAGAAATTCTGAAAACAAGAGTGGAAGCTGCTGTTCTATGAGAGAAAGTCACATCCGTACAGGCATCTGCGCTCACCAGGGTGCCCCCTCTCTGGGCCAGAAGGCCGCCTGTAAGTCACCGGAGACGCTCATCCATGGAGAAGGCCTGACCCCAGTTTGGGGTAATTTCTTGGGCCCCTCCCCACACACTCTTTCTCTTTGTTTCCGTCGAACATGGTCTTTAAGGCTGAGCTCCAAGCCACGCCTTTGCGACATAGCCTGTCCCGAGTCCGTCCCTTGCAGACCAAGGTATACATGCTATTAAGCTTCTGTTTTTCTCTTGTTATCTGTCTTTTCCACCTTGCAGCACGAAGCTTCCCCCAGGAATCCTCCACGCCCTCACCTGCACCAAGACTTTCAATTAAGAGCAGCAGTGCCCTCCTGGTGTCTGGTGGTGCCAGGGGGCAGGCCTGGTCCTCAGGCCTGGGGTCTTCTGTCCCCCCTTATCCTGGGGAGCCCATCTGTCCCCCTCATTCCTGGGAAGCCCGTCTGCCCCCCTCATTCCTGGGGAGCCCGTCTGCCCCCCTCATTCCTGGGGAGCCTGTCTGCCCCCCCCATTCCTGGGGGACCCATCTGTCCCCCCTCATTCCTGGGGATCCCATCTGTCCCCCTCATTCCTGGGGAGCCCGTCTGCCCCCCTCATTCCTGGGGAGCCCGTCTGCCCCCCTCATTCCTGGGGGGCCCGTCTGTCCCAGGGCTTTGCATACTGAGGCCTCGCAATCCACAAGCTTTCCTAATTCCCAGCTCATCCACATGACAACAGCCCTTCCCCGGGGGCTCTGGCCGACCTCCCTTCGTCCTCACCACACAGCTGCTCTCCCTGCCCCGCCCTTAGCCCTCCTTAGACCCATCCACCCGGCCCCTAGGTGAGCCTCTCCCGACCCAAGACCCAGCGTCGTCCCTCTGTCCCCAGCCTTCCCACGGCCCCCTCACTCAGGACGCAGCCCACAGCCTGGCCCCACCTGCAGACCTTACAGAGGCCACTTGGCCCCTCACACAATGCCCACCTCACAGGCCTTCTCTCCCCGCAGAGGGTCAGACATGCCCCTGCCCCAGCCTTGGCATTTCCACCCCGCAGGCCTCCACGGGGCTGAGCCCTCAGGTACCAGCTTCTGTGCAAAGCCATGCCTGGAGGCCTTCCTGGGCCACGTGGTCTAAGACAGCAATCCCCTCACACCCAGAGCAGGCAGCCCTCCCTGCCCGGGCCGTCTTATTTTCCTATGTCATTCCTGTCACCACCTGGCGCTCACCTTGGCTAACTGGAGCTCCAGCCCCTTTGGACGAAAAGAGCTCCCAGAGCCACTCCCTGGTCTCTGATGGGGCTGTGTGTCCTCTCCAGGTGCCCTCCCCGACAGCCAGCCCCTCCGCCTCTGCACAAGGGAGGGCCCAGGGAGGCTCAGGGCCTGTGTGGCTGTGTGTGTGTCTCTATGTGTCTGTGTGTCTGTGTGTTTCTGTGTATCTATGTGTGTATGTGAATGTGTATCTGTCCATGTATCTGTGTATATCTGTGTCTGTGTGTGTGTGTATGTCTGTGTCTGTGTGTATATCTGCGTCTGTATGTATATATGCGTGTCTGTGTGTATACGTGTCTGTGTACCTGTGTCTTCGTATGTCTATGTGTGTATTGGTGTGTGTCTGTGTGTGTCCATGTGTGATGACATGTGTATCTGTGTCTATGTGTGCATCTATGTATATCTGTGTGTATGTCTTTGTGTATCTATAGATCTGTGTCTATGTGTATATTATCTCTGTGTTCATCTGAGTATTGTATGTCCATGTGTGTCTACATGTGCCTGTGTCTGTATCTGTGTCTGTCTATGTGTCTATGTGTGTATCTGTGTGTCCGTGTGTGTGTGTCCATATATCTGTCTATGCATGTATCATCTGTGTGTCTGTGTATTGTGTATCCATGCATATATCCGTAACTATGGGTATGTCTGTGTGTGTTTGTGTCCACGTGTGTGTATCTGTGTGTGTCTATATATCTGTGTCTATGTGTGTGTCTGTGTCCACGTGTGTGTATCTGTGTGTGTCTATATATCCGTGTCTGTGTGTATCTGTGTGTATCTATGTGTGCATCTGTGTGTGTCTGTTTTCTCTTTGTTTTTATGGTGTCCACGGATGGGCCGACTGAACCACCAAATTCCTCCTCAGAGCCCAGTAAAGGCACCAGGCGGAAGGGTCTGGCGGAGGGTTGGCCGCTGTCTCCTCACTCCTCAGCGGGGTCCTGTCTTCCGACTTTTGTCTCGCGCCGCCGCAGCCTGTGGACTCCTGGGCCCTCCTCTGAGAGCCTGCGCTGTGCCTGGCCCCGGGCGGAACTTTGAACGAGGCTCCTGTCTTAACTCGACTGCTTGTGCTTGGGGGAGATAAACAATAAACAGGAGCAGAAGAAAGTGTCCTCAGACCACGGCGGGTGCTGTTGGGAAAACAGTGGCGGGGCAGGGAGGGGGGCGCTTCTGAAGGACCTGGCGAGGTAGAGGCCACTGTTCTAAGAGGCAACAGACGAGATGAACCAGGACCCTCTGCGAGGGAGGGAGGCGTCCAGGGGTGCACACGGGTCCAGATAGCTGCCGGGCTCCCAAAAACCACTCTGGGGGTGAGGATGGGAGGGGAGAGGAGTTGGGGGCAGGAGGCAAGTGAAAGTAAGTGCCCAGGGAACCTCCATGAGGCCCCCCACACCGGATAATAGTGTTCCATGGGGTCTGCTCAGCCCCATGTCTGCCCCAAGACACTAGCCACAGCTCTGCGTCGAGGTCCTGTAGACCACGGGAGAGATGGGGGGGCCAGGAGCCTATAGAACTCCAAGTCCAAGGGGACCCTTGCTGGGAGAACACAGGCCAAGACCTTCCTTCCTGCCACAGGCTTCTGTCCCTGCTGTCTGCTCCCCCAGGACTCCCCCCACACCCGGGATCTTCCTCCTCACCCTCCTTGGCCTCTCTCAGTGACCCTGTCTACACACAGATGTGCTGTCCATGTGAGTGGAAGGAAGGAAGGATGAGGTCCACTCACAGGGGTGAAGCTGTCTCCTGAGGGGGCAGCCCACCTCCAGGTCACACCGCCCCACCCAACACAGCCTCCAGTCCAGCTCCAGGTGGGCCGCACCCAGCCCTTCACTCACTTCAAATGGCCCAAGACGCATGGATTCCACTGGCCAGCCGGACTGGAACAACTTCTCCCCTTATAAGTATCTAGTGGGTGCCCACGGAATGCCAGGCAATGGGCCAGGCTCAGAGATGAGTGATTCCTCAGGAACAATGGGCTCAACGCCCTTAATTCACATCAGAGGAAACTGAGGCTCAGAGAGGGCGGAGAGGGCCCTGGTAACACAGCCAGCCGGTGAAAGTAAGAGGGGGGGCCCAGGCCCTGCTCCCGGCCCACCCGCCTGGGCTTGCTGGCGAGGCTGCTGGCCCAGGCAGTCTGGGCACTGTGGAAGCAGCCGGCTTGAGGCACAGGGGATGTGGCCTCCTCCCACACACTTACCTCCCTGACTACATCTTAGGCTGACATCCAGATTAACTCATATTCCCTACAGGGAGCTGCACGGCCAGAAGCTGCTGGTTGCAGAAGCCACCAGCTGGTTGTACAAGCACCGCTCCCCTGGTTGTGGGTGACAGATGAGATGCACTCACGTGAACACACATGCATGTGCACACACACATGCACACAGACGCACACACAAACACACACAGGCATACACACGCACACGCACATCCACACACACACATGCGCACACACACGCACACGCCTGCACTCACACACCCCCGTCGGCCCCAAGCAGGAAGGCGCCCCCGGCACACCAGCCCCTCTCAGCGCCCCCAGCGGGCCCGGCGCCTGGAGGGTTAAGGCGGGCGCGTCCCGCGGGTGGGCGGGGGGGGGGGGACGGGACCGGTGCCGGGAGCTCCGCTGCCCTGGCGTCCCCTGGGTCCAGGCCCAGTCGCTCCTTGGGCCTCTCTCGCGGGGCCGCCTCCGCCTCCTCCTTGCCGAGACGGGCGTGGGGCACGGGGTCGCCGCCCGGCGGGGAGCTCATCCGGCGGCGCAGACGCCCCGCGGCTCCGGGGAGGGACTTGGCCTGGGCCCCGGCCCCGCGCTCCTCTGGGGAGGAGCCGAGAGGCTGCAGCTGGCGGCGGCGGCCCCGGGCGGGAGGGGGTCCCAGGAAGCGGCCAGGCCGGAGCCCCCCACTCGGCCGCAGCTGCTGGCCTGGCCAGAACCGAGCGCGCCCTCCCGGTCTCCGCCGCTTCCCTCTGCAAACCGCGGGCAGGAGGAGCCCTCTCCTTAGCGGGCCCGGAGCTCAGAGGCGTCGCGGGGCGCGGCCGAGGGGAGGAGGAAGGAGAGCGGGAGCGCAGCCGGCCCGGGCCCAGCCGTGACTCGTGGGGCGGCGGCTCCGCCAATCTGTGGGCGCTGACGCGGGGGGCGGCTCCGCGGCGCTCGATATCTGCCCGCCCGGGACGCGGGGCGCCGAGAGGCTCGGCCAGGCGGGAGCTGCGCTCGGGGCGGCCGCTGCACCTGCCCGGGACCCCGCCGGCCGCTCCCCGCGCCCACCCCTTCCGCCCTTCGCCCCCCCCTTCCCCCCAGCCCCGGTCTCCCGGGCGCGGCGTGAGAGCAGAGCCCGGCCCGGAGGAGCCGCCCCTTCCCCGCCCGCCCGCCCGGCGCCTGGAGAGGAGCGCGCTGAGGATCGGGACGCCTGCGGCCGCCGCCACCGCCCAGGCCCGTCGCGCCCCGGCCGGGATGGACCCACACGCCCGATGAGCCCCGCGCCGGCGGCTGCGAGCGCCGAGCCTCCCCCTGCTGCGGCCCCAGCCGCCCCCCGCGCGCCCGGCTCCGCGGACCAGGACCCCTGGGCTCCCCGGCTGAGGGCGCGGCCGCTCCGGAGAGGCCGAGCGGGGACGGGCCCGAGATGGCGCGGGGACCCAGCGCTCCGGCGGCGGGCGCCCTGCACGCGGCCCGGGCCCGGGGACAGCCCCGGAGCTGGTAGCCGCCCGGCACCGATGGACCTTGACCCGCGAGGCGGCGCCGCGCTCGTGCCCAGCTGCAGCTAGAGGGGCGCGCGGGCAGAACGCGCTCCAGGCCCGGGCCGGCCCGCGCGGCCATGAAGATGATGCTGGTGCGCCGGTTCCGCGTGCTCATCCTGATGGTGTTCCTGGTGGCCTGCGCGCTGCACATCGCCCTGGACCTGCTGCCCAGGCTGGAGCGACGCGGCGCGCGGCCCTCGGGGGAGCCCGGCTGTTCGTGCGCGCAGCCCGCCGCCGAGGTGGCCGCGCCCGGCTGGGCCCAGGTTCGGGGCCGCCCCGGGGAGCCCCCGGCCGCCTCCTCCGCCGCCGGCGACGCGGGCTGGCCCAACAAGCACACGCTCCGCATCCTGCAGGACTTCAGCTCCGACCCCTCCTCCAACCTCTCGTCCCACTCGCTGGAGAAACTGCCGCCCGCGGCCGAGCCGGCCGAGCGCGCCTTGCGGGGGCGGGATCCCGGCGCCCTAAGACCCCACGACCCCGCGCACCGGCCGCTGCTGCGAGACCCCGGCCCGCGTCGGTCCGAGTCGCCCCCCGGCCCCGGCGGAGACGCCTCCCTCCTGGCCAGGCTGTTCGAGCACCCGCTTTACCGGGTGGCGGTTCCGCCGCTCACGGAGGAGGACGTCCTGTTCAATGTGAACAGCGACACCAGGCTCAGCCCCAAAGCGGCGGAGAACCCGGACTGGTGAGTGGGGGCTGGCAGGTGCCCACCCCCAAGGGAGCCGTGAGCCCAAGGCATGGTGTAGAGAGGTTCAGGGGCCCCAGAGGGCCGCCCCCCATGGAAGAGGCCGGGCAGGGAGTGTGGTGCGGGAGGAGGCAGCCGCCTACCTCAGGGCGCTGCCTTTGTCTCCAGAATAACCTCCTCCTTGGGAGGGGCTGCCGGCTGGTCCGGGAGCTGTGCCCTGTGGCTGCTGGTGAGGAAGCCAGACCCCGCGCCCTTTAGAAGCGAGTCCTGACCAGCCGTGGTCACCAGCTTGGGAAATGGGGTCAGGCAATGAATGAATGAGTTGGTGAGGGAAGGAGCCAGGCTGCCGCTGGGCTTTCAGACACTTGGCGAGGGTGCTCTGGGTGGGCACCTTGGAGAAGGTCTGGATGTGCCTATTGAGTCTTTTAAACCCAGTGGCTGGAGCAGAATTATCAGAGGGGCTTGCTGGCAGCCGTGAGGTGCAACAAGGCGGCCCAGCCAGCAAGGGCGGTGGGTGTGCTGGCTGCAAAGAGATGATGGCTCGATAAAGGGCGAGAAGCCACGGCAGGAACCTCTCTTTAAACTGTCCTGGCTAAGCCCTTTCCCCACCCCCCGGCCCCTCCCTCCGCCACACAGATCAAAACAAGCAGATGCTACACCGAAGCAGTGGAACATTAACCACGACAAGGCCAGAATAAGTAACTACCTGCCGAAGGTTACCCCAGCAGCAGAGGGGGAGACCAGCCTTCCAAAAGATCTGGTTGAAAGTCCCTTCTTCCCTGAAATGTCCAGGCCCAGTGTCTTCTGTCTAAACACACTGGCTGTTTGGAAGCCTCTGAGCCTTGCCTGCTGGTCAGGTTCAAGGAAATGCTTGGAAATTTGAGAACCAGAGCATTGGCCTGGGCTGTGGCTCTCGGCAGGGAGAGACGGCCGCCCAGAGCAGCGAGTGGCCAGGAAGTGTATCCTAGCCCCCCACCCCGCCCCCGTGTCCACCGCAGGACAGAGCTTCGGCAGAAAGCACCTCAGCTTTAGGTGAATTCGAGCTAGGACAAGTTCCGCGTTTCCCTCCAGCCCAGCAGGCAGACGGAGGGTCTGTCCCTCCTCCAGAACGGTCCCTTGACCCCAGAGATGTGAGGACAGGCTGCGTGGGCGGCGGGTCCTCCATGGGAGCCTGGGCTGGAGAGAGTGCTGCCTCCTTCCTCTCTCCCCACCCAAGGCTGCTCTCATTAAAATCAAATTTAGCCTCTTGCATCATTGTGCCCCTGGTTGTTGGAACAAAAGCAGAGAGCTGGGGAAGGTTCCTGACAGACTGGGCGTGTCTGTGAGTTTCATGCAGCCTGTGGTCAATGGTAGGTTCTCCCCTCTACTCCAGGGGAGGGCCACAGCCCCTCGCACCCTCAGCTGAGGTCATGGTTGGGCCATTTCGGTGACCCTGGGACAGACGTGGCGGGGATGGCAGGGCAGCGCTGACGTCCTGGAATTAGTTTTGCTGTAGTTAGAGCTGTCTGTGGTGTCTCCAGAGGGTGAGTAAGAATTACAGGCCTTTCACCGTGTTATTAGTTGGCAGCCGAGCGGCCACAGAAGAAAGCGCAGACGTTGCAGGGCCCTCTTTAAGCAGAGGCGCCTTCAACACATCTGCACTTGCTTGAACCCAAAGTTAAAAACACTGGCGTCGGTGCCCTCTCCCCGTCATCCGACTCACGGGCCTGTTCTTTCCATGCTGATGTTCGTCCTCGCTGCTCCCTGCAGGCCGCATGCGGGTGCTGAAGGTGCAGAATTCCTCTCCCCCGGGGAGGCGGCCGTGGACTCCTATCCCAACTGGCTCAAGTTCCACATTGGTATCAACCGGTACGAGCTGTACTCCAGACACAACCCGGCCATCGAGGCCCTGCTGCACGACCTCAGCTCCCAGAGGATCACCAGCGTGGGTAGGTGTCCTTGGGTGCACTCAGGGCCGTCTGTGTGCCGGCTGTGTGGCATCAGGGCTGCTGGGGCAGGCTATGTGTTAGAGAGGTCTGGGAGGCCGTTGCTCATTACGGCAGCGTCACCTCCTGCAGCAATCTGCACGGGCAGCGAGGAGGGACAGAGGGCTCGCGTCTCGTGTGCTCTCACACTGGATGTGCTCCTGATCTGCCGCACGATGAGCGGGGAGACGCCTGGACAGCCGGTCCACTGCGCTCTGCGTCCTCACCTGGGTGGTCCCGGGGGTGCCAACTGGATGACAGAGTCCTTCCCTCCTGGGGTAGAGGAATAGAGGGGTATCTCTGGCGGCGGTGACCCCTCCACCGGAAGCGTGTGCATGGAACTCTCCTGCTTTTCTACACACGACCCTGGCTGGGTGGGGAGACAGCCATGAGCCTGCTTCTTGTGGTTTTGAAGCCGTCCTTCGTCAGACCTCAGCAAGGCGCTGTGCAGTTTCATACTGAGGAGACATAGGCAGGGCTCAGGACGGAGGCCTGGGCCTCCCAGATGGAGGAGTTTGAAGGCAACATCTCCAGGTACTTTGGGATCTGCTGAATTGGACAAAAAAGGGCATCCAGTTGCTGATTTCAGGAAAATATGCCACTGCAGCTTCTGAGCGTGGAGGTTTGGTGCCATTGTTCTCAGCTTGTAGGCGATTGTTTGTGAAGGTCCCATTTGTCACCAGTGCTTGGAGAGGTAGTGAGGGCGGGGCTGAGGCCCTTTAGTGGGAGCAGCTGCTCCCCGGGGATTGCAGGGAGTGGGCCTGGGTGCACACAGCTGTGGGCAGGTGCAGAGGCCATGACAGCCTGAAGGCAGGGCTTTCTTTGCGCTGTGTGATGAGGCCAGCAGTCCCAGGCATTAGCTTCATGTGTGTCTCAGAAGCAACCTTGGTGCTGAAAGGGTCCCAGCAGCCTGGGGTTCTGTCCAGTTGCTGACACAGGACTTAGGTGTCCCCTTTCAGGCCAGCAGGTAGGTTCTCCTGAGCTCTTCGGGGCTGTTTCTGGCTCTCTCTGCCGGGTGCTGAGTTGTTTGCTGGGCACTCACCTGGTCATGGGGAGACAGAACTTGCAGCTCTCTCCCCACCCCTTGATCAGCTCACCTCATAACAGAGATCAGCTGGACAAGCTGGGAGTCCTCTTCCCTCCATGCTGCCTGGGAGTAACCTGAACCCCTGCCCCCCTCCAGGCCCCCCTCCGTGAAAGCGCTGCCTTTCTCCTGCCCCTGCAGCGGTCTGAGGGCTTTCAGCTGTGCTGGGGAACAGTCCTGCAGACAGCCACAGCCAGAACGTCCCTTCTGCCCCTGAGAGTGAGCATGGCCATTAAGGAAATATCCGATGCATTGATCAACATGTTTGTCCATTCAGCAGATTTTACTGGCACCTCCTGCATGTCAGACCCCCTTTCTGGGTGGTGGGGAGTTGAGGATGAGTTCAGCCTCAACGAGATCTGCTGCCTCTGTGGACCTGACAGCCCCAGGAAGAGACACACACGCACAGTGCCCGATCCTGAGGAGGAACGAGCACTTCAGAGCCGTGCACGCCAGCCAGGCCGTGTGGAGAGGAGGGGGCTCCACTGGGAGGGGCTGAGGACCTTCCACAGGGTCTGTCGGGCAGCTTACCTTCCAGGTGGGTCCGTCTTGGCAGGGAGAGGAATGAGAGAGCCGTGCACACCAGCCAGGGCGTTCGGGAGGAGCAGCACGCAAGTTAGAAAGTCCCCAGTGCCGCTGTCCGTATGAGCTTCTCTCCAGCTCATTTTCCCCATCTGTCCAGTGGGATCTCGCTGCGTGGGACCAATGCAAGGATAGGATGAGATGTGCATGTGAGCAAGCTTGTTAAATATTAACTAGTACTTTGTGCGTGGCCTTCCACAACAGTCCCCTCGTGTGCACAGGCAGGGTCTGAGCAGAGGGAGGGCTTTGTGGATTCCAAAGGCCACCAGGCCCTTGGCAGGCAACTGCAGCTCGCCACCTCCCTCACCGACCGGTCAGCTTTCCAACACCAACACTGAAGAGGTGTGGGAGTTCTGTGCCAGGAGCTCCCAGAGCAGCTTCAGGGAGAGTGTGGGGCCCCCTGGGACCTGGGGCATCTTTGCCCACCTTAGGAGTGCTTTGTCCATCTGGACAAGCTAGGCTTGGCTCACTGCCACCCCTCTTTGGTCCAGCTGTCCCGGGGCAGTGGTGCCCAGGCTGCCTGACATTGCAGGGGTGTGGACAGAGCCCTTGCCAGGGAATCCCTACCCCAGGATTCTGGTGTGGCCTCCGCCTGGGTGTGTCCTGGTTAATTCCTGTGCCTACTGAAGGCCTGCCCCAGCTGATCTCGCTCGCTCGCCTCCTAGACCATGCTGGCCACATTGGTTCTCATCCAGTCTTCTGGGGTGGGGACCCGTCCAAGGACAGGCTGGCTGCTCAGTCATTCTGCAGGGCCAAGCAGGGCCTGCAAGGACGATGGGCAGACACAGCCGCATCACCCAGGCAGGACAGCAGGCTCTGGCCCAGGAGATCTGGGGGTGAATCCTGGCTCTGCCAGCCATTAGCCAGAGTGGAAGTGGGCAAATGGATTAACGCCTCCAGCACCTGGTTTCTCACCGAGAACACAGAGAAGGTTATAATCTGGACCTGGTATAATCTGGACTCTGACTTACAAATCTGAATGCCAAGCAAAACCCATTCACTAGCGAAAACTGACTCAGGCTGAACGTATTTAGGGGCAAAACCTAAATTGTCGAGGCTAGTTAAAAGTCCTGATTTTTCTCTGTTACATTGAATAGTCACATGTTCCTCTGAGGAACAGGAGTGGGTTTAATTATGGGGTTCTGCCCTAGACCCGTGTGGGCATGCCATGATCCACACCATGCACCACGTGTGCCTTTGTCATCGAAATACCTGCAGTTCCCAAATACATCTGGCCTCACAGGGTTGTTGGGGCTTAAATGTGCAAATACGAGTAAAGAGGTGAGAGCGGAGCCTGACAGCGCACCTGCTGGGCAGGGTCTCCAACACTGCAGCATTTTGGGGGAAGCTCTCCTACTGGGTGGGGTCTTTGTACAGCAGCAGCATTTCAAGGTGGGCTGATCCTTCTCATCTGGGGAAGCCAGGGCTGGGCAGGTGCCTGAGCCTCATGAGGGTCTCAGTCTAGATGCTGGGCCCTATTCTCCCTGCTGCCTTGGGCTTGGAGATGCTCACAGGTGAGTTCTCATTTGTGAAGAGGTCTGTCTTCCTGAGGAAGCAGGGGACCCTCACCTGTGAACCAAGTGTGCCATGGGAGCTGCTCCATGTCCAGGTCCAGGTCTCCTGGTCTGCAGGGAACGGCACAAGAGGGCTGGCCTAGGCCAGGAGGATGTGATCTGTCCTAGAAGGGGGCTGACCTGCTTGCTGACCCCGCTTGCTGCTGCCTGGCTGGCCTGACTCAGCCACGGCTGTTCCGAGGGCCCTTCTGAGTACGAACTTCCAGTTGGAGGATCTGGGTGAAGACCCAGCTGCTTGAGATAGCAGCCTCTGGCTAGGCCCTTGGCGTGGCCAAGCCAATCAGGCAGGTTTAGAGCCTGGTGCCCCTAGACAGGTCCTGCAACCAAGAACAGGGGTAGCCTTCAAAGGCCAGCCCTGCCTTCCAACCACCGCTCCACAGCGAGGGAAACCAAGGCTCTTAGGGCAGGAGGCTTGTCCGAGATTAGCACCTGCGTGCTCCAGGCTCTGAGTTCTGTCCCCTCAGCTGTCCGGCCCCTGGGTGCTCACTTTAATCTCAAGTCATTCATCTTACTATTAAACGTGAGCCCAGAAATATTGTTGTAATGGAGAACGATGCCTGCGAGTCTCCAAAGCCTTCCCTCGGAACGGTTCCATTAAATCTCTCCTGCTCAGAACCACCCAATCCAATTCATGGAGCGCCACGTGGTCTACAGCACAGCTGGTTAGGGCCAGCGGAGGTTTATTTATAGCTGGGCTCCTGGCTGCCTGGTAACCGGCCATTGCCACCTTTAAAGAGTCTTGGGATATTATCTACCTCTATTCAGCTTGAAATCGGGCATGCAGTGCCTTGGGCTGGGGCTGGCGATAATTAAATTTCTATCATGCACAATTATGGATGCAAAGAATGAATGACATCCCACTGGCATGTGAGGATTCGGGCAGCTTCTGGACTGAAATACAGACTTCATAATTGCTCCATCCAGATTGGGACAAAGACTGTGGTTGGGAGAACATGCCTGAACAAAGAAAAATGACTCTGCAGGACCAAAGTTCTTGACACTGATTGATCTGCCAAAAGGGGAAGAATGAGTCCAGCTAGAATCCAGGACTAACCAGCGGGTGAGCTTCAAGGAACAAAGGGCTTCCGCTGGGTCAGCCCACGAGAGGGAGCTGCCTGCAGGTACCTGGGAGGGCACAGCCACCGTGTCTGTTCCTTGGGAGCAGGGCTCCTTGGAAGGCAGCGCCAGCTCCAGAAAGGCCACTGTTCCCCCTCCCACCCACCCCAGGTGGCAACTGCCCCTGCAGGTCACGGTCCCAGGGCCTCGCTCGGCCGGCCTAGAGAGAGAAAAGGGAAGATGCCCAATTAGCTGGACGCCCATGGCCCCAGGGCTGGGGGACCTTGGGTTATCCTGAAAGAAGGACAATGACCACCTGCAAAGGACGATTTCAAGTGGAGCCTGGAGGAGGCGGCAAATAGCTCAGTCCGCACTCAACTCCCTTCCCAGCCGTCTGGTGGAAGGTGAGGAGCAAAAGCTCATGCTGCTGAGGCCTGGGGCCACCCAGGCACCGGCCTCCCCGTGCTGAGCAGAGACAGCAGCCCCCTAGCTGCAGGAGTGTGCCCCGATGCGCACCTGCCGACTTTCCTTCTGATGCAGACATGGTCCCCACTGGGGCAAGGCTGCAGTTTTCTTTTAAAAAACAGATCTTTCAAAATAAAAGGGGCCTTGAAGAAAATCGTGGAATAAATAACAGTCTGGGGTGGAGGCGGTTCTGGCGAAAGTGTCCTGAGGGTGGTGTGTGATGGACGGGACTTTGGGCAGTGCTGATGGGGCCTTGCCTGTCACTTGAGGCCTCCAGGAGAGTCGAGGACTGGCAGATCCAGGTCCAGAGCAGGTGCAGGCTCCCAGCTCTTCCAGCCCCTTACCTCGCAGTAGGTTCCCACAGTTCTAGCCTCCTTGATGCCAGCCCCAGGGTGCCCACTGCTGGCCAACTATGTCCTTTTCCTCAAAACCAGGTCCCTCGGTGCCCAGGGTGAATGGGTATATGAGCCTGGGTGTGGGCACCCGGGGTCTGGGACACCGAGCAGACCTCTCTGGCTTGGAGATGTGTGCGGTGGGAAGAACAGGGTGACCTGAGCTCTCCCGGTGTCACATTCTCCACATCTGAGCCCTCTTTGGGTGAGGCCCTACTTCCAGCACACACAGCTGTCCCCATTCGTCTTCAGGAATAACTGACCCTTGAGGCCAGACAGTGGCTGTGAAGAGCAGGGGGACCGCCTGACCGTGACCCCCAAGGACAGACGCTGGCCCTCTTGACGGACGAGATGACCAGGGCCAAAGGCGGCAACATGGGGGCCCACGCTGACGGCAGCATCTCACACCTGGATGTGTTTCTGTGGTCCACAGGTCTGTAGGAGGTGGAACTGGTTAATTTAAAGTCAGGTTGGGGTTGTTGTTAGAAAGGGTTCCTGCTCCCACGAGAAACCAAGGATGAGTGGTGGCTGCACCCAGTCTCCATCCCCATGAGCACCCTGCGGGGTGTTGGGACCCCCAGGCCCGGGCCACACACCTCTCTCTTTCAGGGCCGTCTCTCCCTGTCTCTCCAGACCTGCTCTGGGTTCTTCCTTCTAGAGCTTCCCAGTGGGTTGCCGGAGCTGTCTGGGGTTATGTGGCTTGCCTAAGGCCACACCGATTGGGGCCTGGCACCAAAGTCCATTAGTATTTCTGTGACAGCAGCCATCTTTCTATGTAAGACGCTTATTTCATAAGAAATGCCAGCATCTCTTGGAGTCCTTCTGAGGAGGCAACTGCATACGAACATCGCCTCTGTCTCGTGCTGTGACCCGGGGAGAGACTGTGGGCAAAACCCAGTGGCGTCCGAGGGTCTGTGTGGCCCCGAACTCTTAGTGCTGACAGCAACATGAAATAATGAAGGCACAGGGCACTCTGTTCGTGCATGTTAACTTGTGTAACTAGTGCACGTTAATCACATTAACTAGCCATGTTAACTAGTGACGTAGATTAATAATGATGAATCAATAGGAATGAGTCCTGTATACTGACGGATATCCGGGCGATAGGATTCTTCAGCGAGGCCGGGGAAGAAGCAGACTGTCACCTTTGGTCTAAAGTTGGTGGGTTAAGTGGTGGGAGGTGCTCAGGGCAGGTGGCAGGAAGGGGAGAGCGTTCCAGATGGGGAGAACCTATTTGAAAGGCAGTGGACATCTTCCCATGTGCATAGAGAGGACGGGTGGCCACTGGGCGAGATTGCACTGGGGAATGGGGCTTGTGGACATCTTCCCGTGTGCATAGAGAGGACAGGTGGCTGCTGGGTGGGATTGTACTGGGGAATGGGGGGGCCCTATGGATATCTTCCAGTGTGCATAGAGAGAATGGGTGACTGCTGGGTGAGATTGCACTGGGGAATGGGGCCCGTGGACATCTTCCTGTGTGCATAGAGAGGACGGGTGACTGCTGGGTGGGATTGTACTGGGGAATGGGGGGGCGCTATGGATATCTTCCCATGTGCATAGAGAGAATGGGTGGCTGCTGGGTGAGATTGCACTGGGGAATGGGGCTTGTGGACATCTTCCCGTGTGCATAGAGAGGACGGGTAGCTGCTGGGTGGGATTGTACTGGGGAATGGGGGGGCCCTATGGATATCTTCCAGTGTGCATAGAGAGAATGGGTGGCTGCTGGGTGAGATTGCACTGGGGAATGGGGCCCGTGGACATCTTCCCGTGTGCATAGCGAGGACGGGTGGCTGCTGGGTGGGATTGTACTGGGGAATGGGGGGGCCCTATGGATATCTTCCAGTGTGCATAGAGAGAATGGGTGGCTGCTGGGTGGGATTGCACTGGGGAATGGGGCCCGTGGACATCTTCCTGTGTGCATAGCGAGGACGGGTGGCCATTAGAGCAGTGCAGACGGGACCTGTTTCCAGAAGAAGGACTGAACTGACCAGATTTGCATGATATGTTTTTATTGCACTGGGAATTGGGGCCTAGAGGCCCACTGGGGTTTGATTGTGCTGTTGGTTTCATGATGGCCTGGATTTCAGGGGAGGGGCAGGTGTAGAGGGAGATGGAGGGAAGGTGGTAGGTGGGAGAGGGCTTAGCAGGTGAGTCTCTGAGACTTGTCCACGGTGTGGGGTGACTTTGGGGTCTGTGCCAGGATGCCCCCGCCTCAGCCGGCTTCATGGGCATCAGAGGGATCAGCTCTCAGTGGGTCCCTCCCCAGGCTGGGGTTGGGCAGGCTCTGACTGACCCCTGTCCACTGGAGGCACGGGAGGCTGCATCTGGGAGGGCGTCTCCGTCAGTCCCGTCCCCAGGACCTGTGCCCACACGCCTGGGCTTCTCCCACCAATGAGGTGAGCTTTCCAAGCATCGTGAACTTTGGTCTATCTTCAAGAAAACCCAAAATTGCACCTTTTTTTCAAGGCCTGGCCTGTGTCCTGGCTCTGCCACCTGCTGGCCCCTTCCTGGGTGGGAGGGCAGGGGTGACCCGATCAGTGACAGGAGGGTGGGCGTCTGTACCTCCCACCCATCCCGATGAGCACCGAAGGCCTGAGACGCAGGGCAGCTTGTGTGTCGGTCTTTGCAAGGAGACTGTATCTGATTTTAGAGCAGAATTCCAAATGTCTTTCAGCAGAAGACCCACTTGGTAGACTGAGTGGTGGGCCCACGGTCCACAGGAAGCCGAGTCCTCAGTCGCTGTGAGATCTTCATGCCTTTAATTTCTAATTGTTTATTTGCTCCATGGGGAGGAGCTGGCCTCACAGCTGAGCACAGGGGCCAGGAAGATAGGACCTGCTTCCAGACGAAGAAGGACTGAACTGACCAGATTTGGATAATATGTTGTTATTTTACAAACCGGGATTACAAGCCCTGGAAGGAGCTGATGAGCTGTCGCACCTGAGCCAGGAAGGAACTGTTAAATCCTGTGACCCCAGTTACTAATGGAAATGGGGGCATCAAATGGGGCTTAATCCGGCTACTAATTTTCTCATCGTCACTTCGTTATTATCTTACTAAAAAATGTAGTCACTATTCATTGCAGAAACTTAGAAAGCACAGTTAAGGAAAAAACAGAAAACTAAAGTCAACCACGGTTTTACTTTTGGGAGAAAACTACCAAGCTTCAGGCGCCCATCCGTGCATCCCAGGTTAAAAATCCGTGCAGTGTATTCAGAAGAAAATGGTTATGGCGTCTAAGTTTTTAATAGGCTGCTTTGCTTACTGGTAAAATCATACGCTGTTTGCTGTCATTGAAAACCCCCCGGTACCCGGTGAGAAGCCGGGATGGAGCCCGTTTACGGAGCCTCGAGCTGCTGGCCCGCCTGAGGCTGGCGTTCAGGTTCTGTGCAGTGTTTTGGAGAGAAATGAGATTCGTTGCTGCTTCCTTCACCTGAGGAGGGCACGGCCTCTGAGAGTTTCACCAGCAGACCTGACTGCGCAGTGGTCCAGGGCACTGAGCCCAGCCCCAGTCTTGACCATGGCCTGTCAAACGTGGTTCCTGACAGGGTAGTGGCTGGAGCAGACGCTGCCTGGAGGGAATGGGCACGTGACCCGGGGTGTGAGCTGTGAGCTCAGGGGCAGCAAGAGCCATCAGAAATGGGGAGGGCACGTGGCGCTTGAGTGGCCATCGCTGTGGAGAGCCCCCACACTGCGGCTGTTCTCAGCACTCAGGGAAGAGACACGGCACTCGCGTGGCCTTTGCCGTGGTGAGCGCCCACACTGCCGCTGTTCTCAGTGTTCAGGGAGGGGAAGTGGCACCTGTGTGGCCCTGGCCATGGTGAGTCCCCACATTGCCACTGTTCTCTGTGCTCAGGGAGGGAATGTGGCACTCGTGTGGCCTTCGCTGTGCTGTGTCCCCACACTGCCGCTGTTCTCAGTGTTCAGGGAGGGGAAGTGGCACCTGTGTGGCTCTGGCCATGGTGAGTCCCCACACTGCCGCTGTTCTCGGTGCTCGGGGAGGGGACGTGGCACTCTTGTGGCCCTTGCCGTGGTGAGCCCCCACGCCACTGCTGTCCTGAGCACTCACAGCATTGCCCCCATGTAGTCCTAAGGGTGGTCCTGGATGAGGCGTGTCACCCCCATTCTGCAGGAGCAGCCGAGTTTCTGGCAGGTCACATGAGGCACCACCGTACTCACCAGGACCCT
Organism: Homo sapiens; assembly: GCF_000001405.40. Lineage (NCBI taxonomy): Eukaryota > Metazoa > Chordata > Mammalia > Primates > Hominidae > Homo > Homo sapiens. The sequence goes on from NC_000007.14 coordinate 205,110, forward strand.
GGAAAGGAGGCGGGACAGGCGTCCACGTCCTGAGCCCCATTGTTTTCTAGAAACAGGGTCTCTGTTGCCCAGGCTGGTCTTGAGCCCCTGGCCTCAAGCAGTCTTCCCACAGCCTCCCGAGTAGCTGGGACCACAGACACGCACCACCACGACGTCAGCCTCCCGAGTAGCCGGGACCACGGACACGCACCACCACGACGTCAGCCCCCCGAGTAGCCGGGACCACGGACACGCACCGCCACGACGTCAGCCTCTGAGTAGCTGGGACCACGGACACACACCACCACACCAGTTAATTTTTTAATTTTTTGGTAGAGATGGGGTCTTGCTATGTTGCCCAGGCTGGTCTCAAACACTCGGCCTCGAGCAAGCCTCCTGCCTCAGCCTCCAAAAGTGCTGGGATTTCAGGCATGAGCCGCCGCACTCGGGCACTGGGCCCCATTTAACAGGAGGGGAGGGGCGGGAGGTGCAGACCCCTCAGAGACACCGCAGGAGGCCGAGCACACTGCCCTGAGGTCGCGTCGGAGCCCGTCGACGGTTTCTGTGGCTGCGCCGGGCTTGGGATCCATCTCCCTCCTGCCTGGGGCCAGTACCAGCTCCTCCCTTGTGCCCAAGTGAAGCCCTGTGGATGGTGGGGACTCTGCTTTCTCGTCTGCGCCCTCCCCCGTGCTCCTGGCCTTCCTGGAGGATTCAGTGTCCTCGGGAAGCATCCACGGCACCCCCAGGCCCCCCACGAAGCCCGCTGTCCTCACGCTGACCCTCCCTCCCAGCCAGCCGCCACCTGAGACCTCGGTTCCTCTGGGTCAGTTCTTCCCGTCTGAAGGGAGTATCCTGAGCTTTCTTCCACCAAACCTACAAACCCATCTGCAGGCAGCTCCCCCATCCCGCCATCTCCTGCAGGGCTGGGCCCTCCCCGAGCTCCACGCCCTCAGCACACGCGCGTGCCCTCCAGCCACGTGGAGGAGCCGTGAGGTCCCTGGAGCGTCTCCGTCATCCCAGGCTGGCTGGGTTCCGTCTTCCTTCCATGACATTCCCTCTCTGGCCGTCCCCCTGCTCCACATCCCACGTCACTCCACCAGATACCTCTCAGATCCTCAGATATTTCTTGGATTTTTCCATTTTTCCATCTTCCTCCAAACCACCACCGTCTCCTGCAGCTGCCGCAGCCCCAGCCTCTCCCACCTCCAGTGTCCACCGTTGGCTCCAGGGCAGCAACAGCAGCCAGGGACAATCTGTGTGGGGCCCTCATGCCCTGCTGCCCCACGCTGGCCGCCCTTCCCTTTCCCTGGGACCCCCTGAGACCTGCTGGCTCACCAGCCCCCATCCCACCTTTGCACCCTCCCGTGCACTGTGATGCGTTGGCCCTGGTCCCCTCGGCCCTGCACACGTGTCCACTGTGACGCGTCTGTCATGGTCCCCTCGGCCCTGCACACGTGTCCACTGTGACGCGTCGGTCACTGTCCCCTCAGCCCCGCACACGTGCTCACTGTCCACTGTGACGCGTCTGTCATGGTCCCCTCGGCCCCGCACACGTGTCCACTGTGACGCGTCGGTCACTGTCCCCTCGGCCCCGCACACGTGCTCACTGTCCACTGTGACGCGTCTGTCATGGTCCCCTCGGCCCCGCACACGTGCTCACTGTCCACTGTGACGCGTCTGTCACGGTCCCCTCGGCCCCGCACACGTGTCCACTGTGACGCGTCGGTCACTGTCCCCTCGGCCCCGCACACGTGTCCACTGTGAGGCGTCGGTCACGGTCCCCTCGGCCCCGCACACGTGTCCACTGTGACGCGTCGGTCACTGTCCCCTCGGCCCCGCACACGTGTCCACTGTGAGGCGTCGGTCACGGCCCCCTCGGCCCCGCACACGTATCCACTGTGAGGCGTCGGTCACTGTCCCCTCGGCCCCGCACACGTATCCACTGTGACGCGTCGGTCACTGTCCCCTCGGCCCTGCACACGTATCCACTGTGACGCGTCGGTCACTGTCCCCTCGGCCCCGCACACGTGTCCACTGTGACGCGTCGGTCACTGTCCCCTCCGCCCTGCACACGTATCCACTGTGAGGCGTCGGTCACGGTCCCCTCGGCCCCGCACACGTATCCACTGTGAGGCGTCGGTCACTGTCCCCTCGGCCCCGCACACGTGTCCACTGTGACGCGTCGGTCACTGTCCCCTCGGCCCCGCACACGTGTCCACTGTGACGCGTCGGTCACTGTCCCCTCGGCCCCGCACACGTATCCACTGTGAGGCGTCGGTCACTGTCCCCTTGGCCCCGCACACGTGCTCACTGTCTCCTTCAGGGCCCGAGTTTGCTCTGCTTCCTCTGCTGGGTCATGCCGTCCTCTGTGGGGCCGGGGCCAGCCCTGCCCCTCGCTCCGAGAGCAGCTCAAATGTTAGCTCCCTAGGGAGGCTGCTCCTGAGCTGCGCCCAGGGCCCCCGCCCCGCTTCCCTCTTCCCCTTTGCACCGGAGCAGTCGCATATGCCACCCCACCACGTTCCATTTACGTCTGTGCCGGCAGGGATGCCCGGCTCTTGTTCGGGCCCGTGATGTTGACGTGTGACCAGTCCCTGGTGTGGCCCCGTGAGGCCCCCTCACACCAGACAATCCCCCGCGTGGCCCGGACCTACCGGTCCACAGCGCGTGACAATCTCCCATCTCGGGCGACCTGGAGGCCCTCGCTGTGGCCAGCTTAGCTCCCGGGGCTGCCCCAGGCCGAGGCCAGCCCCTTCCCTGCTGTGGGAACCCCCCGGAGCCCCCTTCCTTCTCCACCAGCAAAAAGGAAATCCCGAGGTGGTGGGAGGAGGGTCCCATTGGGAGTTCTTGAGCCTCCTGGTGGCCAAAGCTGGAGGGAGGCTACTGGAGGCTTCCACACCCCAGCGAGTCCTTGCGGAGCGGCGGGAGCTGCCTCGCATGAGACAGGTGCTTTCAGCCCCAGGTCTCCCCAAAGTCACCCTGCTCAGGTTGCTTGTAGCTCCCCAGAAACGCGGGCGGGAGGTGCCACTCCCCGTTCTTAGGCAGGGGCAGGGGGGTGCGTGGGTGTGTGTGGTCGTGCAGGGGTATGTAGGGGTGTGTCGGGGGGTGTCTGTGGGTGTGTAAATGTAGGTTGGTGTTTGTTGGTGTGTAGGTGTGTGCTGATGTGAGTGGGTGTTTGAGGTGTTGCCTGCAGGTAAGCACACCTGGCCGTCCCGTCGAGATTAGGCCCTTGTGTCTGTGGGTGTGTAGGTGTGTGTTGTGTGTACTGTAGGGTGTGGTGTGTGTAGGTGTGTATGGGTATGTACATGACTGTGGGGTGTGTGCTGATGTGTGTGGGTGTATACGTGTGTGTCCAGGTAAGCACACCTGGCCGTCCCTTCTAGGAGTCAGGCCCTGTGTCTGTGGGTGCATGTGTGTGAGTGTATGTAGGTGTGTGTGATGTGTAGTGTGTGGGTGTGGTGTGTGTACATGGGTGTGGGTGTGTACATGGCTGTGTGGGGTGTGTGCTGATGTGGGTGGCTTATACGTGTGTGTCCAGGTAAGCACACCTGGCCGTCCCTTCTAGGGGTCAGGCCCTTGGGTCTGTGGTCAGCATGGAGAGATCTACCCCAGTACTCAACCCTGAATATCAGGCAGAGAATCCATCAGCCAGGCGAGAGCTTCACTGCAGAAAACTCAAACTTCCCAGGCAGAGTGGGACCCCTGGACCATGCCCAGAGGACCCGGATTGCAGCCAAGAGCCCTCGTCCGCACAGGAGAAGAAGGGGCGTGAGGCCAGAGAGTGACCCTGTTTCTCTCCCTCCTTCCTGCAGCCATGAAGTCGGGGGGCACGCAGCTGAAGCTCATCATGACCTTCCAGAATTACGGGCAAGCGCTGTTCAAACCCATGAAGTAAGTGCCGAGGCCTGTGGGCTGGGGCGTGAGGAGCTGGAGCTGCAGGCGAGCAGGCGCCGGGCTTCTGCTGGGGATGGCCGTGTCTCCTCCCAGGGTGTTTTGGGGAGACTGTGGGTGACCACTCTCAACTCTCCCCGTCATGGCAAACGAGCAACAGAGGTGGCCTCATTTTCTCTCCTCTCCCACGGCCTCCCCACCTCCTCCCTTTTTATAGGACGGAAAACCTACTGCTGGTTATTCTTACCCTGTGAGAATAAGCATTTGTATTTTAAACAAGTAACCTGGAATGTGAACACCAAAGAATGCCTCTCTGGAAGAGGTGACGTCCGCACCTTCCCAGCAGGCCTCCGGAGCCCGCACACCTTTGCTACAAAGGGCCGGACGCAGCTATTTCAGGCTTTGCAGGTGTATGGTCTCTCCCTACTATTCAGCGGGTGGTCCTAGCCCCAAAGCAGCCAGACGCAGTACGTGGTGATGGGGGAGGCTGAGTTCTAATAAGTCTTCATTTATGCAACAAAATGGGCTGGATGTGGTCCAGTGGACAGTGTGCCCTGATCTGGATAAAATAGAAACTGTGTCAGTCACCAAAACCGATAACACAGCGCTCCGTGGCACGCGACAGCTCGTGGTGAGGGGTGTGTGGACACCTGGCCACCCCAGGAAGGCTGCTGGGCTGGGTGGGGTCTGTGGCAGGCGTCCCACAGGAAGGGGCCAGCGGCCTGTCAGCTCACTAGATCTTGGCCATCTGGCCTGATTTCCAACTTTCTAGAGAAGCCAGAAATATGGATTTTTTTTTCCTGTTTTAATCTTGGTGGTAACTAATTCAGAAGCTCTTCATATACTTTGCAGGTAAAACAAAATATAGCTGCCTGCTTGCAAGTTGTGGCTGGAGGCAGATGTTTGCAGCTGGGCTCGGTTTCTGGGCCTCTCATTTCTCTGGACAGATGTCCTGGAGGGACTCGACCGAGGGAGGTGGCCCTGCCCCGGTCTTCCCCCAAGACCCACGAGTCCTGCCTCAGACCCGGGGCTGCCGGGAGCCGGTGGATGAGTCACAGCCCCGTGCCTGAGCCCGGGCCGAGGGCATCCCCGCTCACACGCTCACACAGGGCCGGGGAGCAGCCGTTCACCAAAATTACACGGAGGCCATCAGAGCTCAGGGCCTGGGGCTGAGGGCTGCTACCAGGGGTGGGATGAACGCACGGGAGCTGATCCGCTGCCCCCACGGGTCTCACGGCCCAGCCCTGCGGGGGGCCTGAGATCACAAGCACTTCCTTCCCCGTTTCTGTGCGTGGATGTGAAACTCAGCCTCCTTGGGCCTCTCGTGGCCTCTGCCCCGGTTGAGGAGGCTCAGCCAGGAGAGATGGCGTCGCCCGGAGACCTGAGGGTCTCCTGGGTTACGTGAAGGAGCTGTTTGAAGACCCCTCCTTTCAGGATGCTGTGGTGTGGAGCCGGGGGTGGGCAGGAGACAAATGAGCCTGGGCAGCTTCCCCTGGTGCTGCGTGGACCCTTCCGCTGGCAGTAATGGGAGTGGAATAGTCGCTGAATGGCGGCGTCTTCATCTCCCTTGAGCTGGCTTCGAGCCGCGGGCACGGCTGGGGGAGGCAGACTCCCGCCTCCCACCTGTGGGAGCATTTTTCAGCCTCGCAAATGTTTCCAGGTTCATTCAGGAGCATCCCCTGGAGGGGTGGCCCCGTCACGCCGAGCTACGGGACCTTGAGTGCTGTGTCCCGTCCGCAGAGAGCAGAGTGTTCCTGGGCGCCAGCTTGTCCGGCCCCTATTTCATGGTCCGTGTGAATCCTCAGGCCCCGTTTCTCATCTCTGAGGAGGTGGAAAGTGCAGCTGTGGTTGGAGAACGGTGACATTTACCGAGCCGCTGCTCTAACCCAGGCCCTGCGGGAACCGGCGTCTCGTGGGCACTCGGTAGCTGTGGGCCCGGCCTGTGCTTGGGGTTTATATACAGAAGCCTTTATGTTTGTCCATCCTCACATAGCCCTGTGAGTTATAGGAGGTGACGCTTACCGCTGCGTAAAGACGAGAGAACTGGGGTTTAGAGAAGGAAAGTAGAGACCCTCCTGGACCAGGATCCAGTGTCCCCTTAAGCCCAGGGTGCGCGACCTACCCTCCGCCTCCCCCAGCCTTCTCCCTTCCTCCTCCCCCGTCAGCCTCCCCTGGGCCTCCTCCCAGCCTCCGCCAACCTCCCCCAACCTCCCTCAGCCTCCTCCAACCTCCCTCAGCCTCCCCTCGGACCTTCCCATGCCTTCCCTGGACCTCCCCCCAGCCTCCTCCACCCTCCCAGCCTTTTCTGAGCCTCCCCTTAGACATCTCCCAGCCTCCTCCCAGCCTCCCCACAACCTCCCGAAACCTCCCCCAGACCTCCCCCAGCCTCTTCCAACCTCCCGGCCTGCCCCCAACCTTCCACCTCACCTCCTCCACCTCTTCCTCCCCAGGCCTCCCCAAACCTCCCCAGCCCCCCACCGTGATGGGCACCCCACGTCCCCAGCGTGGCCACATGAGGGGCTGACCTTAGAGGTCAGGGGACCTCCCATGGTCCTGCAGCGGGCAGAGGTGGCGCCAGGCTCCAGAGCCCCCTCCCTAGGACCCGTTTGTCAGGGCCCTGCCATCCCAGCTTGCCTGAAGGCCGAGGCTGCTGACGGATGGGCTGGGCAGGGCTGTGCTGTCACCCGGGGAGGCCAGTGTGACGCGTGGGCTAAGCGGGGAGGTGGGGGCCGGGTTACAGCATAGCCAGGAAACAGGCCTGAGAAGCCTGCTGCAGTTGGGGAAACTGAGGCCCGGAAAGGGAAAGGATACGTCCAAGGCCGTGGCGTCCAGAGGCTGGTCCGGGACTCCGTCTTCCCACAGGGCACGTGGCGGGCGGAGGCAGGGACCCCACACCTCAGGCGGGCGGGCGTGTGCGAACCTTTTGCAAACCTCCCAGCTCGGTCCTCTCACCGCCGCCCCCCAGGTCAGGTTAGGGCGTTGGCTGGTGCCCGACCCTCCTTTGCAAACCAGGGGGCCTGGATCTGTCATTGATGGAGGTCCTGCAGCCAGTGGCGCCCCTGATGACCTATGGGGGCTGTGCCCAGGGCCTGGGGGATGATCGTTTCTTCTTCCGCAGAGGCTGTGGTTTGCATACGAAAGCAGCTGTGGTTCATGACCATAGCATTAATGAGTTAAAATCCATGATTAATAGTTCTCTTTAAAGGCCGGGCACACTGGCTCGCAGCTGTAATCCCAGCACTTCGGGAGGCCGAGGCTGGCGGATCATTTGAATCCAGGAGTTCAAGAGCAGCCTGGCCAACATGGTGAAACCCCATCTCTACTAAAAATATAAAAATTAGCCGGGTGTGGTGGTTTGTGCCTGTGATCCCAGCTACTCAGGAGGCTGAAGCAGGAGATTCGCTTGAACCTGGGAGGTGGAGGTTACAGTGAGCCGAGCTGACGCCACTGCACTCCAGCCTGAGGGACAGAACAAGACTCCGTCTCAAAAAAAAAAGTTTTCTTTAGTAAAGGACTTTGCTCTCTGCGCTCATCACGGCTCGGTGAGTTCCTAGTACAACGTCGTGAATTAGAGAGCACAGTGTTTCTCCTCCGAGGTGCTAGATGTGCGGTGAGAGGGTGTAGGTGAGGGGCCGGCGGTGAGGTGGGGGCCAGCCTGGGGTGCTGCACAGCGTGTGGGGGGCGGGATCACCAGGGGAAGTTTTAGGGTCTCCGTTTCTAATAGTCGCTGAAAAGCACGTAGCCGGCACATCAACCCAAGCGCTCCTGGGTGCTTTTGCTTTAGGGTTACGTTAAGATATTTACGTTCTTTTTTTAAAGTCAGCTTTATTGAGATATAATTCACAAGCCATGCGATTCACCCACTTAAAGTGTGCAGCTTGGGGGCTTTCGGCTCAGAACTGTGCGTTCATCACCGCAGTTGATTTTAGCCCGTTTTCCGTGACTCCACAGAGAAATCCTTCGCCATTCTGTCATCACTCCTCAACCCCCTTGTCCGCCTCCAGCCCCCGTCAAGCACTAGCCTACTTTCTGCTTCTTGATATTCATAAGTTACTTATTCTGGATTTTCATACAAATGGAATCACGCACTGCGTAGTCCTTTGTGAGTGACACGTTTCCAAGGCTCTGGAGTCCTGCAGTGTGTAGTCCTTTGTGAGTGACATGGAGGGCTGTGGAGTCCTGCAGTGTGTGGTCCTTTGTGAGTGACATGGACGGCTGTGGAGTTGTGCAGTGTGTAGTCCTTTGTGAGTGACATGGAGGGCTGTGGAGTTGTGCAGTGTGTAGTTCTTTGTGAGTGACATGGAGGGCTCTGGAATCCTGCAGTGTGTGGTCCTTTGTGAGTGACACGTTTCCAAGGCTCTGGAGTCCTGCAGTGTGTAGTCCTTTGTGAGTGACATGGAGGGCTCTGGAGTTGTCCACTGCGTAGTCCTTTGTGAGTGACACGTTTCTGAGGCTCTGGAGTCCGGCATTGCATAGTCCTTTGTGACTGACACGTGGTTCCAACGCTCATCGGTGCTGCAGCACGCATAGGTGCCTCCCTGTTTTTCATGGCTAAGTAATATTCCAAGGTGTGGCTGTTCATTCTTTCCTCTGTTGACGGGCATTTGAGTTGTTTCCGCTTTTGACAATCAAGGATAATGTTGCTTTGAGCAACCGTGTATGAGGTTTTGCAGGGCAGGTATTTTCAGCTCTCTTGGATGTATTCTGGGGAGCAGTTGCCGGATCACGTGATAACTGCGTTTAACTGTTTGAGGAACTGACTGTCCGTTTTCTGCAGCGGCTGCACCATTGTGTAACCCTGCGAGCTCGTTCCCGGGTTCCAGTTTCTCCACCTCCTCGTCAGCGTGTGCTGTTGTCTGGCTTTTTGATGACGGCCGTCCCGGTGGGGGTGGAGGGGGGTTTTGTGGTGGTTTTGACTTGCACGTCCCGGTGACTAATATTGGAGTGTCTTTCCATGTGGGCACGGGCCATTGACGTGTCTTCTTTAAAGAAATGTCTATTCAGAGCTTTTGCCATTTTGTTCAGTTGGGGTATTTGTCTTTTTGTTACTAAGTTTTAAGACGTCTTGGCCAGGCACAGTAGCTCACGCCTGTAATCCCAGCACTTTGGGAGGCCGAGGCAGGTGGATCATCTGAGGTTGGGAGTTCAAGACCAGCCTGACCCACATGGTGAAACCCCGTCTCTACTAAAAGTACAAAATTAGCTGGGCGTGGTGATGCATGCCTGTAATCCCAGCTACTCGGGAGGCTGAGGCAGGAGAATCGCTTGAACCCGGGAGGCGGAGGTTGCAGTGAGCCGAGATCACGCCACCGCACTCCAGCCTGGGCAATAAGAGTGAAACTCGGTCTCAAAAAAAAAAAAATCTTTACATGTTCTAAATACAAGACCTTTACCACATATGTGGTATCATGTGAAGGACAAGCTTAATTTTAGGACGTCCAATTTAGTTACTTTTGTTATTCTCGTGCTTTTGGTGTAATTACGTTTGAATGCTGAAAGCACGTGTGTTAGGCGAAGAGTGGTGCGGGAGGCGGTACCTGCACTTGGCACGGTCAGCGGAACGGTGCGGCTTTAGGAAACACCACGTAGCCACAGAGCGACGGGCCTGGCGTAGCCACTGTTGCTGTTTGACCTGACTGAGTGCCCTCACCTCCTGGAACTCAGCGTACCCATCTGTCAACAAGGGCGTTGGAAGAAGAGGTCTCAGGCGCTTGCAGGGCTGAACCCTTTTGACCTGGCCTAGGAGACCCGGCACTGGCTTTCCAGCTTGGAGAAGTGGGGGACTGAGCATGGGTTTGAGTCCGGTGGACGCACCCAGCAGGCTGTTGGCTACAAATTCCATCTTGCGTCTTGGAAAGAAGCTTCCAGGCATGCGGCGGCTGCCCATGACACTGGCTGTGACCACCTCCAGGTAGAAATATTCATTTAGTCATTCCACAAACTCGGAGTGCCGGGCCTGGCCTCCCGCCAGGCACTGGGAACACAGATGTGACTCAGACTCGAAGCCTGAAGGTGGTCTGACCTCTGGACGTGGGGAGGCCCAGCCACAGGTGCTGCCTAAACACTCCTCGTCACTACACTCTCCTATGCTCCACGGGAGACAGGCAGCTACGTGTGTCCAGTCTCCCAAAGTGGCCCAGGAGGACAGGGCGTGGTTAACAGTGGGAGTTATGTACAGAGTGAAAGAGAAATGTACAAAAGAGGCGGAGTGAGCGAGTGAGCACCGTACCACAGAGTTTAGAGGCTCCAGCTGGGGGGGGGAGCAGGGCCCCTGGTGTATGGAGAGGATGGAGCTGGGTGGGGGGAGCAGGGCCCGTGGTGTATGGAGAGGATGGGGCTGGGTGGGGGGGGCAGGGCCCGTGGTGTATGGAGAGGATGGGGCTGGGTGGGGGGAGCAGGGCCCCTGGTGTATGGAGAGGATGGGGCTGGGTGGGGGGAGCAGGGCCCGTGGTGTATGGAGAGGATGGGGCTGGGTGGGGGGAGCAGGGCCCCTGGTGTATGGAGAGGATGGAGCTGGGTGGGGAGCAGGGCCCCTGGTGTATGGAGAGGATGGGGCTGGGTGGGGGGAGCAGGGCCCCTGGTGTATGGAGAGGATGGGGCTGGGTGGGGGGAGCAGGGCCCGTGGTGTATGGAGAGGATGGGGCTGGGTGGGGGGAGCAGGGCCCCTGGTGTATGGAGAGGATGGAGCTGGGTGGGGAGCAGGGCCCCTGGTGTATGGAGAGGATGGAGCTGGGTGGGGAGCAGGGCCCCTGGTGTATGGAGAGGATGGGGCTGGGTGGGGGGAGCAGGGCCCGTGGTGTATGGAGAGGATGGGGCTGGGTGGGGGGAGCAGGGCCCCTGGTGTATGGAGAGGATGGGGCTGGGTGGGGAGCAGGGCCCGTGGTGTATGGAGAGGATGGAGCTGGGTGGGGAGCAGGGCCCCTGGTGTATGGAGAGGATGGAGCTGGGTGGGGGGAGCAGGGCCCGTGGTGTATGGAGAGGATGGAGCTGGGTGGGGGGAGCAGGGCCCCTGGTGTATGGAGAGGATGGGGCTGGGTGGGGGGAGCAGGGCCCCTGGTGTATGGAGAGGATGGGGCTGGGTGGGGGGAGCAGGGCCCCTGGTGTATGGAGAGGATGGAGCTGGGTGAGGGGAGCAGGGCCCGTGGTGTATGGAGAGGATGGGGCTGGGGGAGGGGAGCAGGGCCCGTGGTGTATGGAGAGGATGGAGCTGGGTGGGGGGAGCAGGGCCCCTGGTGTATGGAGAGGATGGGGCTGGGTGAGGGGAGCAGGGCCCGTGGTGTATGGAGAGGATGGGGCTGGGTGGGGGGAGCAGGGCCCCTGGTGTATGGAGAGGATGGGGCTGGGTGGGGGGAGCAGGGCCCCTGGTGTATGGAGAGGATGGAGCTGGGTGGGGGGAGCAGGGCCCGTGGTGTATGGAGAGGATGGGGCTGGGTGGGGGGGGCAGGGCCCCTGGTGTATGGAGAGGATGGGGCTGGGTGGGGAGCAGGGCCTCTGGTGGTAGATTCCCAGCCTGTGGGGTGACATCTCACTGAGGAAAGGCCAGCTGGGAGCCCTGGTCCTTGATGCTGGCCGGGGAATCTTTTCTCCAGAGACACCTGCCCTCCCTGCTCTTTCCAGCCTGGGAGTTTCTGTGTGTGTGTGTATGAGTGTGTGTGAGTGTGTGTGAGTGTGTGTGAGTGTGTGTGTGAGAGACAGAGTGTGTGTGAGAGTGTGTGTGTGTGTGAGACAGAGTGTGTGTGTGTGTGTGTGTCCGTCTACGTCTCCCAAAGAGACTGTCTGCAAACAGCTGTCCCAAGGCCCAGGAACTCCTCCCAGCCAAGACACATGAACAGAGGCAGTTGCAGAAGGGCTTGCGGGGCTGACACAGTATTTCTAGATGCAGAAACTTTAGCCCTCCTTCCGGGCTCTGACAACACATGGCCCGCTGGGGCCTGTCTCCGGGCAGCAGAGCTTGAGCAGTGACGAGGAATTAAAGGCAGGAGCGGGGGCCCACCCTGAACGGCCTCATCCCAAGCAGCATCGTACTGGCGTGAAGAGGCCCTGTGTCATGTCTGACTGGCTTCCTATGACCCAGGCACAGCTCCGGGGCCACAGCCAGATGCCTCCTCTACCGAGCGAAGGGGCCCAAGAGGAGGATGGCCGTCAGCGGCCCCCCAGGGGTGAGCAGATGCAGCTCAGACAAACCTTTCCCAGGTGCCCTGGGGCTGCTGACCCCCCGAGGCCTGTGGGGGAGGCGGACACAGCTTTGGCCTCGGACTTGCAGCTGCGTGGGGCCTTCTGCGGGACCTGTGTGCAGTGGGGGTGTTATTGGGGTCGAGGCTTGCCCAGGCCCCTCCTGGGGTCATCATCCCTGGCTCCTGTTGCTTTCTCTAGGTTGTGACATGGTGGTCACAGACTGGCTGTGGGTGAGCTCCAGCCCCTCCCGGGTGCCCCCCTTTAGGGTAGAGCTGCATTTGGCTGTTTGTGCATCAAGGGGGTAACATGCACCTGGACCTGGGGGAATTTCAGGGCCATCCTGGGGGGCGGTGCTGAGATGGTGGCCTCGGGCTTGGCTTGAGGTTAGGTGTGTCCCTAGAATGCACTGGATGGCAGACAGCTGCCTGGTGCAGGGCGGCCCTAGAGAGGTGCCGGCTTTCCCTGAAGCGGCTTCTGAGGCCTTTCTCGCACCCATGTCTAGGGCCAGGCAGAGGTGCCCTGAGGGTTCTCTGCAGTCCCACGTGGCCACGTCCAGAGAGGGCAAAACAGATGCAATATTAATAAGAAAGACGGGAGAACAATGACCCGGGGCCCGCGCGTCACTGCAAAGCTTTCCATTTGTACGAGGAGAGGACTGAGAGGTTCGATGAGCGCCTGGCTGGGGCTGGCCGTAACGGCCACCCTCAGAGGAAGAGGGGCCTGGCTGATGGTGGTGCACGTTGGCTGGGAGAGGAGGTGCAGCTGCTCTTTAATTGATGTTCTATTGATGTTCCTGTTCGATAAGCTACCTGGGGTCCTGTACAGTGGGCCGAGGGCTGCCCGTCCCCGTCGGCCCCGGGATGCTTTGTTAGCAGGACGTGTGAGGCCAGGAGTGGTGGGGTAGGGGTTGGACGCTCAGGCCTGCTGCCTGTGGGCTGGCTCTCGAACTTCCCCGGGCCTCAGCCTCCTCGTCTGTGAAACGGGGTCACACGAGCTGCCAGGCAGGCCACAGCGTTCACCCGGCAGCTCAAGCCCAGCCACAACCACACTGGCTGCTTTTCTCAATGAAGCAAAGTATTTAGGTGTTCACCACGTGGCTGTGGGGCCTTTCCGGCAGCTCCTCGCCCTGCAGGCCTGGGCTCAGCACTTCCTGGCAGCCGGGGCCCCTTTCCGGTGCTCCCGTCCTGGAGGGTCCCTCCGTGTGTCCTGCGGGGCCTCCGTCCAGTGCCGCGCTGCGTGCTGCCTCCTCAGTTCACCCGCACTGACCCTCGGGTGTGGCCCCTCTGACGGGACTGCACGACCTGCTCAATGTCCTGGTAAGCTCGTGGCCCAGCCGGGGAGCTGAAGGGAGGCCGGGACGCCAAGCTCCAAGCCTGGTCAGAGGGAGGGCGGGGCAGGGTCTGAGTGACAAGTGTGTGGGCATCGTTGTGCGGCCTCACCACCGCTCTGACGCCTCCTGGCTCTCTGGACATGACCCGTGTCCACCACGTGGCCCAGCCGAGGACAGGGCTGGTCACTCCTCCATCCCAGGGCTCACTCAGCCAATGCTTATTGATTAGTATAGACTGGGAAACCGAGGTGGGAGAGGTGACAGGAGCTGACACAGGCCCAGGACGCACAGATCACTCCCGTCCGGCCGGGAGCTGACACGGGCCCAGGACGCACAGATCACTCCGGTCCGGCCGGGAGCTGACACGGGCCCAGGACGCACAGATCACTCCTGTCCGGCCGGGAGCTGACACGGGCCCAGGACGCACAGATCACTCCCGTCCGGCCGGGAGCTGACACGGGCCCAGGACGGACAGATCACTCTGGTCCAGCCCAAACCCAGTGGCATGGACGGGACTTGCTCAGAACCTGTTAGTGGCTCAGACAGGACATAAAGTGAGGGTTCCCCAGTGCTCCCCACCGCACAGAGGCTGGCCCCTCCTGGGGTCGTCACCATGGGTGGTGGTGGTGTTTGGAGGCACGGTTGCCTTCTGCGGTTCTTGTCCCTTCTCCGTGATGCAGGAAGCCAGGCTCCACCTGGGGCGAGGTTTGAGGGGAGCATGTGACTTTGTTGTCCAGGGCTGGGCAGGTGAACAGGTGGAGAATGGGGGGAGGGGCTGGGGTCGCTGCATGAACCCCACCGTGAATGTGCACAGTCCGTGCTTGCTGAGTGCATGGATGAAAAGTGAAGGACACCCAGCCCAGGACAGCAACGCCCAGCCCAGGACAGCAACGCCCAGCCCAGGACAGCAATGGCCAGCCCAGGACAGCAACGCCCAGCCCAGGACAGCAATGGCCAGCCCGGGACAGCAACGCCCAGCCAGGGCTGTCGGCGGGGTCTGAGGGAGGCGCGTTCCCTCTCAGAGTGGGGGCTTGGCTTCGAATCCGGTACCTGAAGCAGCAGGAGGTGCCTCGGCTGTGGCTGTGCAGACCCCTCCTGGGGCCTTGGCTGAAGGCCTTGGGAGCCACAGGAAAAGCAATTCTGGCCAAGAGGACTGTCCAGCAGTCAGCCCAGGGTGTCCTGCAGAGACTCCTGGGTGAATCCTGCCAGGCAGGGACCTGGCCTCCAGGGCCGGGGTAAGGACGGGGAGGGCAGGGGAGCTGGGCTCACACTGGCTCTTCTCCTAGAGCCCATGAACTAAGGCTCGGGGAAACAAAATGGTTTTGAGGACCAGTGAGGGATCGGTTTGGAATTTCGAAGGATTTTCTGTTCTGCTGATAAAAATTCATGTTTCTCTCCACTGTGGCCTCACCGGTTCCAAAGGCAAACAGATTGCCCAATGGGCTGGGTGGGTGTGGACCCAGCAGAGGCCTGGGCCTGACCAGACCTGGACAAGGACCCCTTTGTGTCCACACTGGGTGTGGGCCGGCCTCCAAGCCCGCTCCTCACCCTGGGTCTGGCTGGGCAAAGCTGCCTGGCACTCAGGAGCTCCTGCTGACTCCCTGGGGGAAGCCAAGCCAAGACCCCTTGCAGGAAGGTTGATCCACCTCATTGGAAGCTGCCGGGACCCCCACATGCTGCCCTCGCTGTGGTGGGGTCCCTGTGCCCAGAGCTGCTGGCTCCTGGCATGGAAGTGGCCTCCTGGGTCCTGCCTGAGAGCCTGTCCCTTATAAACTCAGGAAATTAGGCCCTTGAGCAGAGGCCAAGTCCATTCTCCTCTCACCCCTGCCCTGCCCAGCAGAGTCGCTGGGCCCACCCACTGGGCGCCTGCTGTGGCTGGGGATGCTGCTCACGCAGGTTCCCACCTCAAGTGGAGCTTAAATTCCCGGGGGGCGTGGTCAACGCACGTGAACAAATACGCAGGAACGTTTCAGAGAGGGGTGATGCGTGGAGGGACTGAAACGAAGGAGCATGGCAGAGACGGGCTTGGTGAAGGGGGCGTTGTTCCACTGACCTTCTGGGGTCTCTCCCACAAACTGAGTTAAGCATGACCTCTGTGTAGGCACCGCCTGGGGAAGTCCTAGGAGGCGGCGTTGGAGCTGAGACCTGAATGGCATGGTCGGCAGCAGGGGGCGGTCTGGAGAGGAACATTCCTGCAAGGGCCTGTGCTGGCCACGTGTGCAGGGGAGAGAGGCCGGAGGGAGGGCGGGACCCGTGCACACAGGAAGCTCCACGTGGTGGGCAGGTCATCTGGTGCTCGAGCATAGGAGGCCTGGGGCGGTCAGCTGCATTTTCCCTGGGCACCCAGCCGTCACGCCCTGGGGAGCAAGGACAGGAGGCCTCCCATGCCTGAGAAGTGAGAGCCCGGATGGTGGGCCCAGGGCACAGGGCGGAGCCTCGTCTCTAGCAGGGCAGGGGGCTGCAGGAGCCGTTCTTAGCATCTGGGCACAGGGCGGAGGCTCGTCTCCAGCAGGGCAGGGGGCTGCAGGAGCCGTTCTTAGCATCTGGGCACAGGGCGGAGCCTCGTCTCCAGCAGGGCAGGGGGCTGCAGGAGCCGTTCTTAGCATCTGGGCACAGGGCGGAGCCTCGTCTCCAGCAGGGCAGGGGGCTGCAGGAGCCGTTCTTAGCATCTGGGCACAGGGCGGAGCCTCGTCTCCAGCAGGGCAGGGGGCTGCAGGAGCCGTTCTTAGCATCTGGGCACAGGGCGGAGCCTCGTCTCCAGCAGGGCAGGGGGCTGCAGGAGCCGTCCTTAGCATCTGGGCACAGGGCGGAGCCTCGTCTCCAGCAGGGCAGGGGGCTGCAGGAGCCGTCCTTAGCATCTGGGCACAGGGCGGAGCCTCGTCTCCAGCAGGGCAGGGGGCTGCAGGAGCCGTTCTTAGCATCTGGGCACAGGGCGGAGGCTCGTCTCCAGCAGGGCAGGGGGCTGCAGGAGCCGTTCTTAGCATCTGGGCACAGGGCGGAGCCTCGTCTCCAGCAGGGCAGGGGGCTGCAGGAGCCGTTCTTAGCATCTGGGCACAGGGCGGAGCCTCGTCTCCAGCAGGGCAGGGGGCTGCAGGAGCCGTTCTTAGCATCTGGGCACAGGGCGGAGCCTCGTCTCCAGCAGGGCAGGGGGCTGCAGGAGCCGTTCTTAGCATCTGGGCACAGGGCGGAGCCTCGTCTCCAGCAGGGCAGGGGGCTGCAGGAGCCGTTCTTAGCATCTGGGCACAGGGCGGAGCCTCGTCTCCAGCAGGGCAGGGGGCTGCAGGAGCCGTTCTTAGCATCTGGGCACAGGGCGGAGCCTCGTCTCCAGCAGGGCAGGGGGCTGCAGGAGCCGTCCTTAGCATCTGGGCACAGGGCGGAGCCTCGTCTCCAGCAGGGCAGGGGGCTGCAGGAGCCGTCCTTAGCATCTGGGCACAGGGCGGAGCCTCGTCTCCAGCAGGGCAGGGGGCTGCAGGAGCCGTTCTTAGCATCTGGGCACAGGGTGGAGCCTCGTCTCCAGCAGGGCAGGGGGCTGCAGGAGCCGTTCTTAGCATCTGGGCACAGGGCGGAGCCTCGTCTCCAGCAGGGCAGGGGGCTGCAGGAGCCGTTCTTAGCATCTGGGCACCCGGGAGGGAGGGGCCTGTGGGGAGCCAGAAGTGCGCAAGTCAGGAGACAGGGCAGGGCTGGAGGCCACGCAGGGATGTCTGGAGGTCCAGGGCAGCTGTGCTGTTGTGTTTTGTTTCTTAGAAAGCTTCTCAGTGGGTGTTATGGGTCAGTGGAGAGTGAGCGCCCTGTGAGAGTCAGGGCAGGCCTGGTCCAGCCCCCGGCAGTGAGGATGGAGGGACTTGGGTGTCCAGAGGAGCCCAGTGCTGCAGTTGGGTACTGAGAGCAGCTGGGGTCACCGTCAGCCCCCACTGTGGTCCCCAGACTTGCAGGCCCTCAGTAAGGGAGTGGATTGCCCTGGCACAGGCTCAGGAAGCAGATGCCTGGTGAAGAACGGCCTGAACCCCCCAGGCCCAGGGCTGGCACTGAGAGGGGAGTGCACAGGTGTCCACGGAGGCCCTGCCCCTCCTGGGGGCTCTGAGACCCTGGGGCCAGGATCCCAGCAAGAGGTGAAGGGACAGGCCCTGAGGTGCCAACCAAAGGCTGGAGAGCGGAAGTGAGGGGCCCTGAGGTGCCAACCAAAGGCTGGAGAGCAGCCCAGCACAAGGGGAGGCAGCACCGTGGCAGGCAGAGTGCCTGGAGTGCTGCTTGGTGCTGGGGGTGGGCATGAGCATGTGCTCATGTGTATGAGTAGGTGAGCGTGTGGGTGTGCATTGCCTGTGTATGCATGTGTATGAGTGTGTAAGGGCATGTGTGTGCATGCATGTCCTGTGTGGGTGCACGTGTCGGTGTGCGTGTGTGACGTGTACATGTGTAACGTGTGTAAGGGTGTGCATGTGTGGGTGTGTGTACACACGTGTGCATGTGTGTGTGAGGGCGTTCATCTGTTGTCATGCAGGTGCTGTGTGGGTGCATGTGTGGGCATCTGTACGTGTGTGTGCCCGTGCATGTGTATGTGAGGGCGTGTGTGTGCACACTCATGCACGTGTGTGTAGGCTTATGTGAATGTGGGGGAGTGTGCACGTGTGTATGAATGGAACCCGTGTGTGTTCCTATGAAGGGCAGATGGGACCAGGGCTGGTCCCCAGTTCTCAGTGAGAGGGCCTGGGGCGAGCTCCCTTCTGTCCAAAGCCTGAAGTGTGGGCGTGTACAGCTGTCCCAGCCTCACAGGGATGGAGACGTGGGGATTTCCGTGTTGTCAGATCGTCCGCTGGGCTGCAGGCTCCACGGCGGGTGGGTGCTGAGTCTTAGCTCAGCATTGTGTCCGCAGCACTAGCCACATAGCAGGGGCTCGATGTGTGGTTCTGAGCAAGTGAATGATCACAGAGCCTGCCGGGGTAGAGGCCAAGGAGCCCGTCTGTCTCGCTCTCCGGGGCTGTCCTGGTGGCTGTGGGCCTCGCAGAGGCAACCACTGCAAAGGATGCAGGAGGAGCAGAGGGGCAGGCGGGCACATGGTGGGGCAGATGCCGTGGGGCGGACATGTCCCTGCAAGTGACGTCTGCAGCCGGCTCGTCTGTGTGTGGGGCGTCCCGGCTGCTGCACCGAGCCCCGTGGGGACGGCACCTGGTGCCTGCAGAGGGGTCAGCCTGCAGCTGCAGTCACAGGGAGGGGCCCTTACGCGGATGCCGCAGGTGGTCCCGGCATTGGCCTTGCCGGCCCCAGGTAGAGGACGTTCACGTTGCTTCCAGTTTCCTGGCTTATTTTTATAGTCAGAAGAAAAATGAACTTTTTTCATTTGAAGAACAATCCTGAAATGAGCTTTCGAGAGACTCTATGGGGTCCCCTGCCCCAGGCATCTCAGAAGCACAGAAGGACGAGGAGGCTGAATGGGTGCTGCCCCTGAGGGGCACCTGGGACCCCTGAGCCTGCCCGGCCCTCCACCCCAGGACCGTCCTGTGTCTGCCCCGGGCTCCCGGCCCGCCAGCACCATCACGGGGGTCGCACGGCGGCTGTCCCCTGAGCCTTCTCTCATTGCGCAGAATGGCACCGTCACAGGGTCGCACGGCGGCTGTCCCCTGAGCCTTCTCTCACAGAGCAGAACGGCACCCTCACGGGGGTCTCACAGCGGCTGTCCCCTGAGCATTCTCTCACGGAGCAGAACGGCACCGTCACGGGGTCGCACGGCGGCTGTCCCCTGAGCCTTCTCTCACGGAGCAGAACGGCACTGTCACGGGGTCGCATGGCGGCTGTCCCCTGAGCCTTCTCTCACGGAGCAGAATGGCACCGTCACGGGGGTCGCACGGCGGCTGTCCCCTGAGCCTTCTCTCACGGAGCAGAACGGCACTGTCACGGGGTCACATGGCGGCTGTCCCCTGAGCCTTCTCTCACTGAGCAGAACGGCACCCTCACGGGGTCGCACGGCGGCTGTCCCCTGAGCCTTCTCTCATTGCGCAGAATGGCACCGTCACGGGGGTCGCATGGCGGCTGTCCCCTGAGCCTTCTCTCACTGAGCAGAATGGCACCGTCACGGGGTCGCACGGCGGCTGTCCCCTGAGCCTTCTCTCATTGCGCAGAATGGCACCGTCACGGGGGTCGCATGGCGGCTGTCCCCTGAGCCTTCTCTCACTGAGCAGAATGGCACCGTCACGGGGTCGCATGGCGGCTGTCCCCTGAGCCTTCTCTCACTGAGCAGAATGGCACCGTCACGGGGTCGCACGGCGGCTGTCCCCTGAGCCTTCTCTCATTGCGCAGAATGGCACCGTCACGGGGGTCGCATGGCGGCTGTCCCCTGAGCCTTCTCTCACTGAGCAGAACGGCACCGTCACGGGGTCGCACGGCGGCTGTCCCCTGAGCCTTCTCTCACTGAGCAGAATGGCACCGTCACGGGGTCGCACGGCGGCTGTCCCCTGAGCCTTCTCTCACTGAGCAGAATGGCACCGTCACGGGGTCGCACGGCGGCTGTCCCCTGAGCCTTCTCTCATTGCGCAGAATGGCACCGTCACGGGGGTCGCATGGCGGCTGTCCCCTGAGCCTTCTCTCATTGCGCAGAATGGCACCGTCACGGGGGTCGCATGGCGGCTGTCCCCTGAGCCTTCTCTCACTGAGCAGAACGGCACCGTCACGGGGTCGCACGGCGGCTGTCCCCTGAGCCTTCTCTCATTGCGCAGAATGGCACCGTCACGGGGGTCGCATGGCGGCTGTCCCCTGAGTCTTCTCTCACTGAGCAGAATGGCACCGTCACGGGGTCGCACGGCGGCTGTCCCCTGAGCCTTCTCTCATTGCGCAGAATGGCACCGTCACGGGGGTCGCATGGCGGCTGTCCCCTGAGCCTTCTCTCACTGAGCAGAACGGCACCGTCACGGGGTCGCACGGCGGCTGTCCCCTGAGCCTTCTCTCACTGAGCAGAATGGCACCGTCACGGGGTCGCACGGCGGCTGTCCCCTGAGCCTTCTCTCACTGAGCAGAATGGCACCGTCACGGGGTCGCACGGCGGCTGTCCCCTGAGCCTTCTCTCATTGCGCAGAATGGCACCGTCACGGGGGTCGCATGGCGGCTGTCCCCTGAGCCTTCTCTCATTGCGCAGAATGGCACCGTCACGGGGGTCGCATGGCGGCTGTCCCCTGAGCCTTCTCTCACTGAGCAGAACGGCACCGTCACGGGGTCGCACGGCGGCTGTCCCCTGAGCCTTCTCTCATTGCGCAGAATGGCACCGTCACGGGGGTCGCATGGCGGCTGTCCCCTGAGTCTTCTCTCACTGAGCAGAATGGCACCGTCACGGGGTCGCACGGCGGCTGTCCCCTGAGCCTTCTCTCATTGCGCAGAATGGCACCGTCACGGGGGTCGCATGGCGGCTGTCCCCTGAGTCTTCTCTCACTGAGCAGAATGGCACCGTCACGGGGTCGCACGGCGGCTGTCCCCTGAGCCTTCTCTCATTGCGCAGAATGGCACCCTCATGGGGTCGCACGGCGGCTGTCCCCTGAGCCTTCTCTCATTGCGCAGAACAACCTGGGTTTCACTGAGTTCCATGAGACCGGATGGGAGAAGAAGCAGGGGTGATCTTGGGGGTCAGACACCAGGGCTCACCTGACCTGCTAGGGTGTGTGGCCTGGAGTGCGATGGAGGCCTTTGGAGAAGGAGCTGCACCTCCCAAACCCACTGGGTTCAGCCTGGGCCCACTGCAGGCCGCCCTCTTGGTGTCCACGCACCCCATGTCCCACCACAGAGGACGGATTCCCTTCCTCTGCCTCGTGACCGGCTAAGCTGTCTGAGTCCCTGGAGAAGACCGGCTAGGAGGGGCCCTGGAGGGTCACAGTGCAGGGGGTGGAAGGTTTGAAAACAGATCAACGTTAACAGCGTGTCTCCTGCATGGGCTGACTCAGAGGGGCGTGCCACAAGGCCTAGTCACCCTCACAAGAGTCCCAGCGCTTACCAGCCAAGGACGAGGGCCCAAGGCTCAGGGAGGAGGGAGTCGCTGTCCCGCAGCCACACGGCCGCCCGGCTGGGCCTCTCAGGTGGCCCCGTGTGCCCCCCGGTCGTGGCCCCGATACCAGGTGGTGTTAAGAGACTCCACCCTCTCGCAGGTCTGTGGGGACGGGCACAGGCGGCCGCTCCACCCCACTGCCCACGACAGGCCCGAATCCGCCCGGGCTGGAGCCTCTGGCCTCTGAGGTCACTTTGGCTTGTCCAGACACCCTGATGATTTACTGGTGGCCAAAGTTACATCAACTGAGGCTGGCCACAGAAGGTAGCTGTCTTCTCCTGCCCTCACCTGGCAGCTAGACATTTCTTTGCTTAATAAGTAAAAGGAAATTATTAACAATTATGTAACCATTGCAGAGAATCTGACAGGGAAATGAATAAATGGTAAAAACAGCAAAACCCTCAGAGAGTGCGGTTCTGGGCCCTGCACCCACTTTACCGATGGGGAAGCTGAGGCCCGTCCCTGCAGCCGTCCAAGCCCACACTGGCACCCTCCCCTCGGCTGTTCCGATTAGGCCTTCTCAGCCTCCCCAGGCCGTCCGACCCTGGCCGACTGAGGATGTGTGTTTCCGTGGGGTCTCCTGGAAAAGATTACCCCATTTGTTGAAAATCAAGGAAAGTCATTTTTTTTTTCCAAAAGCATTCCCCAGAACGGCAATATCGAGGGTCTTTTTGTATTTTCTCCAGTTATGACGGTCGCCGGGGTGCCGCTAGTGTGTGGGCCATCGTTCTAATTGTCACGAAAGGGAGGGAAGATTAAAAGGACGGGAAAGAAAATATGGCCTTCATTTTCCTCGTACTGGGGACGAAAATGGAAGCCAGGGGATTTCATTCAAAAGCAGTTTGCTCAGGTCTGGTTGTTTTTAATGCCAAAAAAGGAAACTGCAGATTTAAGATCTCCTTAGACAAGCAGAGAACGGGCTCAAACACTAGCCCCTAACTATGCATTTAGTTTATTTTTCTTACTGATGTTTTTTTTAAACATCTAGGGCTCCACGGAGGAAAAACAAGATTGTAACAGTAACCTTGGTGCTCAATATTTAATCCTGGTTTAGTAGTTAGTAGCAGCTTACCCTTTTATTACTTTGAAATGAAAGGAAGCATCACAAGGGTTTCATAGGAAAGATGTCTGCACCTGTGTTTTCAGGCTACCGGGGAGCCCGCGTTCATTTCCAGTCTAGTCGTACTTCCCTGAGTCCTGTCCATGAATACTGGATGAGCCGACAGTAGCGTGTTTAAAACTACAGTGGGTCTGAGACTTTCAAGCAATTCTTTTTCCCCGTTTGCTTTTGAAATAAAGTCTAAACCATCGCAATTGTTTTCAAGTGGAAATGACTTCAGACTTTTACAGTTGCAAATCACTGAATCATTTTAAAATGGATTTTCATTAAATTGACCGTAAGAGGTTGAAGAGCCTCTTCTGAGATGATTTTCCAGCCAAAGAAATGATTCTCTCCTTCTTCTGTGTCTCACGTTGAAGAGCTGGCGCAGAGGTTTCCTGCAGACCCGGGAGGGGTACCTGGGGCCGGTTAGGAGGGTCCTAGGGTTCACCTGAATGGTTCTGAAGCCCTTTAGCCGCACCACAGCGACCCGTCAGAGCTGATGGGGGACGGCGGGCTCAGTCAGGCGCACAGGCCTGTGCCTGCGTAACGAAACACCAGGGGGGAAAGCCATCCGCCTGGCATGGTTGTGATGAGGCCCGTGGCCAATCAGAGAAATTCTGAGAAAATAAAAGATAGGTCAGTAGGCGACCCCTGCCCTGGGCAGGGTCTTGGCTCAGTGCTGCCTGTCCCCATGGGTTCCGAAGAAGGCAGGTTCATTGGAAAAGCTTGGAAATCTCTAGTCCTTAGATCACAGGGGCTCTTGTCAGTGTGGCTGTCTCAGACTGTGAGGACTCAGGCCCCTCTGCTGGGTTGAGGAGACCCCCAAGACTGGCCACCCAGGGGGCTGGTGTCACGGCTCAGTGTGGGGTCAACAAGCCAGGTCCGTGTCCCTGTCCCTCCCCTGTGAGAGGCTGACACTGCCATGGGGGCTGTGGAGGGTGGAAGGGGAGACGCCCGCTGCCTACACCCCCAGCTCTCCTCTGAGGGCAGCGTTTCCACAGAGCCGGTGTGAGCCAGGGGAATGACCTGTCCCAACAAGAAGCTCAGGTTTGGACAACTGGTGCCTGGAGCTGAGGTCCTTAGCATCTCAGCACAGCTGCCAGCCTCCACGGCACCTGTGGGTCCATCCCACATCCTCCACCAAGAGTGACCTGACTGAACAGACGCCACGACTCTCACGGCTCCTGCTGACGGCATGAGTGGGGTCCCGGGCAGCCTCCTCAACGTGTTTGTAGTCCTGACCTGTAACAACTGCATGCTGGCTGGAGGGTCCCACGCTGGGGATTCCTCCTCCTCAAACTCAGCACTGGGAGCCCCTTCCAAGACCGCCCACCAGGCATCTTGTTCATGGATGGGGATCACAGCCAGGGTGAGTAGCGACACCAGGACCCGTAGTCGGGCCACACCCTGCCCCACCCACGCACCCCACCCCCCCACCACCAAGATGCCTCCCTGTCAGCCCCACGGGGGCCACTCTAGGACCAGAAGCAGGGAAATGTCCCACCCAGGAGGGGCCCTTCACGTCCAGATGAGGTCTCGTCATAACCTTCAGCACCTCCGGGTTTGTGTGAAATAGGCGGATTGTCTGGGCTCCGATGTGTGGGAAGTGAGTTTCCTTCCACGTGCAATGAGGCAGCCCCCTTTTCTGTGAGGAATGCATTTTCTGGGAACTTTGCTGCAATGTGTTCTGGCTGGTGTATAAATAATTCCGCACATCGCCGCCCTCCGGTCCTTCCTGGGCCCTGTGCCATTCTCATTCCCAGTTCTCCTGACTCACACATGGCCGCTGAAAAAGACCTCCTGTGTTGAGCGGGAAGGCCTTGGCTGCAGCTGGTCCAGGTCCTGGCCGAGCCCAATGGGGCCCCTCCTGCCTGCAGCCCTGTGGCTGGAGAGCTCGCCGTCCTCACGCAAACAGTCCAGACCACAGCGGTGGCACATCGTGAGAATGACAGATGGGGGATGAGCAAGGTGCCAGGGGTTTTAAATAAGACGGCCGCGTTTTGCCAAACACCTACCCCACGGGGCTGGAACAAGTGACGCAGAAATGGGCAGGAAGCGTGGACCGCGAACTCGGGGACCAAAAGGTCGTGCCGGAGTCACTGCCAGGGAGAGCCCCGCACCTTCCAGAGCTCTGCCGGCTGAAAGCCTGGTATTAAACAGCTTAATATATCTCGCTAATGACAGGTGGTGGTTTTCTGCTGTGTGAGTGATGAGAAGATTACCCAAGATAGAAAGGCTAATTTTTGCCTCCGTGCCTTCATTTAGTGAGTCAGGGATCTAGTGTGTTTGGAGGAATAAGAAAGTGTCTGTCTTATCTAGTTTTGGGCCTCCCTGAGTTTGGCCCTGGAGAAGGGAATCCAAGAGAAATGGGATAGAAAGATGGGGTAGGGGGATGGGGAAGGACCAGCTTCCGCTTCCGCGACCCTCTGGAAGGTGCCCCGAGTATCTCGGGCCCCGGCCGTGGAACCTGTAAATGTCACCTTCTTTGGAAAAGCGGTCTTTGGAGGTGTGGTTAAATTAAAGACTTCGAGATGAGGACTTTCCCTGGGCCCAAAATGCAATCCCCTGTCCTCATAAGAGGGAGGTGGAGGGAGATTAAACGCAGAGGAGGAGGCCAAGGGAAGGGGATGCAGGGCTGCAGTAACAAGCCCAGGAGCTCCTGGAGCCCCCAGAGCTGGGAGAGGCAAGAAGGATCCTCCCTAGAGTCTCCACGGGGAGCTCAGCCCTGCCCACAGCTCAGCCTTGCATTTCTTGTCCCCAGGACGGGGTGGGGGGGGGGGGGAACAGATCCCCGTGGCTTAAAGTGCCCCTGTCTGTGGTTATTTATTACAGCAGAGCCTCGTGGCTGGACCTCTGTGTCCCGGCGTTCGGAACACCAGGAGCCCTTCACGAGGCTCCTGTGGGGCCGTGGGTGGATGGAGGGTGGCCGGGCCGTCTGGTCCACATGCCTCACCCTGGCCGGCCACCTCAGACAGGTCCTTGGTGTCTCCCCGATTCAGTGTTCCCATCTGTAAAATCGGTGGAAAAACGCCTGCCCCATAGAGCCTGGTATTAGATGAGTCGCGATACAGAAAGCTCTGAGGATAGAGCCTGGCACATGGAAAGTCCTGTGTGTTTACTGCCCTCAGTAATATACTGAATAATACCTATTGGTAAATGAAGGGAAAATTCCTGTGTGTTTACTGCTCTCAATAATATACTGAATAATACCTATCGGTTAATGAAGGGAAGAGTCCTGTGTGTTTACTGCTCTCAATAATATACTGAATAATACCTACCAGTAAATGAAGGGAAAAGCGCCACATCAACCTGGCTTCAGTGTGGACCCGCTGCTGGACCCCGGTGGGTCCTATAGTCCCAGCTACTCGGGAGGCTGAGGTGGGAGTTTCGCCTGAGCCCAGGAGGCTGAGGATGCAGTGAGCTATGAAAGAAAAGACGGCCTGGGAGATGATGCTGGAAGACACAGGCCAGGGTGGTCCAGGCCAGGGCAGCGAGTACAGAGGCAGGAGCAGCAGCCCCAGCAGGACCCTCCCATCCAAGCATCAGGAAGGCTGGCGTGGCCGACCCCAACCATCATGCAGACGGGAGACAGGAGTGGGTGCGCTGGGGGGTCTGTTCCGGGGCAGCGAGGACCCCTGGAGGGCAGAGCAGGAGCAGCAGCAGCATGTTCGGGGAGCCCGGGGTGGCCGGGGCGGGAGACGTCGACTGACACTTTGGTGGTGGTGAATGACACGCATCAGTGGGGCCCCATGGGAGGAGGGTCCCGGCGTGGAGGACTCTGTGGGAGGAGGGTCCCGGCGTCGAGGGCCGCGTGGGAGGAGGGTCCTGGCGTGGAGGGCCCCGTGGGAGGAGGGTCCCGGCGTGGAGGACTCTGTGGGAGGAGGGTCCCGGCGTCGAGGGCCCCGTGGGAGGAGGGTCCTGGCGTGGAGGGCTCCGTGGGAGGAGGGTTCTGGCTGAGGTCATCCAGCAGCTGCACTGTGTGGCCTGGCCTGGGGATGGTGTTCTTGGTAAGCCCAAGTGTGGTCAGGAGGCTGCCTGCCTGTTTCCAGGAGGGTGAGCAGGAGGCCTTAGGCACAGAGGAGCATCTGTGAGGGGCGCGTGCGTCTGGCTGAGTGGGCACCTGGCGGTGTGTGCAGGCTTCCCAGCTCTTACGGCCTCTCAGGCACCGGGTCTTTTTCTGCCTGTCTGGCAGGGTTTGGGAGGTGGTGGTTTTCCATAATGCATGAATGGTTGGTGTTTGACCCACCCCTCTTTGGGCCTCAGTTTCCCATCTGTGCCCAGGGGCCTGGGGCGGTCCTCTGTGCTGAGCAGGACACCCAAGGACTCCATCCTCCGGCCCCAGCACCCGCCCCTGCCCAGGGTTCCGCCTGATGGTTTGCTGTTGGTCTCTGCCGCCGACCCGGCATCCGTTCCGTCGGCCTCGTCGGGCTGTCCCTGCTTTGTGGGACACGCTGAGCCGGGGAAGGCATCTGCCTCCCTCATCAGACTGGACGCCCCTTTCCCTGCTCGGCCGCCGGCCCAGCTGGGTAGCAGCGGGAGCAAGGAAGGACAGTGGCTCTTTGCTGACGCCCTGAGCTGCCTCCTCTGCAATGCTTCTTGGAAAAACCTCGGGGGACACCCCACTCCCCATCCACCTGGAGAGGGTGGGAGTCGGTGGCCCTGGGTGAGCAGACCTTGTGGCTACCTGTCTGTTCTCCCATGTGTCCAGTGGAGAGAACGCGGCCCAGCCCCCCACCTCTCAGACCCCGTCCAGGGACATCCCGTGGCTCCACAGAGCCGTCTCCTCCCTGGACAGAGCAACCCTCACACCTGCACGCGTGGCCCTGGGTCACTGCCTGCACTGGCCATCTCCGTGACTGTAGAGCAGGGGGTCCCGAAGGTTTTGCGAATCAATTCACTCAAACAGCTTAGCACAGCGCTTAGCTCAGAGTGAGAGCCACATCCCTGTTGGCTTCTAGTCCCTCATAGGCATTGGTAATAAGCTGCCAGTTTCCTCTATTTTTAACCAAAGCAAACGTTTTCTATTTTCCCACAAACTGAAGAGCGTTGAAATGTTTGTTAGCAGCAACAGTGGGAACCGTTCTATGAGAAGGTGCCACGTGGTCCTAACAGCAGTTGGAGGGGCCAGCTCCGGGAATGCCTAGCGCCGCGGCTGACCGGCCCCTCGGCCGTGCCGGGATCGTGTGCGTTGCAGGACGGGGCACCCGGCGTGGTGTCCCTCCCGCTGAAGCCACAGTTGTTAAGGAGCCCTGGATTTCGGAGAAACAACGAATCCTCTTGGAGCCAGGACCTCTCCAGGGATGGGTCCTCTGCAGACCTCTGGGCCTGCAGCCCCAGCCTTCCTGAGAGGGGCCCAGATCCGGGAGGAAACACGGACGTTCGGAACAGCAGGAGCTGGTGTGTGGTTTTTGGAGGGCCCTGAAGAAAAGATCACAGGCCTGAGTCAGACTCCTGGTTCCCGTCCAAGCTGTGCCATGTTCTGGCCGTGCGATTCTGCAGACGCCTCTGTCTCCTTCCAGACCTCGGTTTCCTTGTCTTTAAAATGGGGGCAGCCGCGAGAGCCATGGGGGCTCCCGTGAGGACGCGTCGCCTGGCCCGGGGATGCACGTGTGGTGTTTGTCACCCTCTCTCTGGCTCCTTTGTGAACAGCAGTGCCTTCTCTCGATCATTCTGTGTGGTTTTCTAAGTGTCATGAGCCTTAGCATTGATGGCCTGACTGGATTTGGAGGAAACAGGTCGTAATTTCACAGCCTTTCCAGCTGGGACTAAATCACCGTGTCCATCTGCCCTGCCTTCGTGTGGCTGGGTATCCTGTATTCCCCTCCTTGGCTGCTGGAACAAATCACGGCAAACGCAGTGTCTTCAGACAACACAAGCATCCTCTTCCCAGCCCAGAGTGCAGGGGTCTAAAAGGACGTGCAGGCTGAGCTCCCCCGGGAGGCTCAGGGAGGAGCCGTGTCCTGGCCCTTCCGGCTCCTGGAGGCGCCTGCGTTGGCGGCTGGGGTCCCTCCTCCATCCTGAGAGCCGGCCGCGCAGCGTCTTCTGAAGTCAGGTCTCCCTCGGCCCCTCTTGCAGGGACGCTGTGGTCTCTCCTTCCCCAGAGCCTCAGTCACATCTGCACTGTGCCTCCCGCCACGCGAGGCAGCAGTCACAGGTCCTGGGGTTCAGATGCGGACAACTTTGGGGGACCGTTATTCTGCCAGCCACGAAAGGCCTGGGAGAGGTCAGCTCAGTCGTCATTCCTACTTTAGTATGAATAACCACAATTAGTACACCTCCTGTGTTGTTTTTCAGAGCTGAGGGAAATCCTTCTAAGGGAAGGGGTTTGGGTGTGGCCAGCTCTGGGGGGAGGGAGAGAAGGATGCACGGTGTTGGGGGCTGCAGGCAGCTCCTGGGAACTGGTCCTGGGCAGACCCCAGAAGATGTGGGCATCACGGCTGCTCAGTGCCCCCCTGGGGGCTGCCTTCCTGCCCCTGCCTTTCTGGTGCCCTTTGAGGCCCAGGGAGGCCGTCCCGGCAAGTGGAGGCGTGACGCCTGTGGGGCCTTCCTTCGTGAGGAGGAGAGCACGAGAGCCTTCCCGGGCTCGGCCGCCAGGATTTCACCCGGTTCTGCCGAGTCCCCCTCCTCGTGCCCTCAGTGGGACGCTGACCTCAGAGCTGCGTCCTGGGCCTCTTTCCTCAGCTGGGCTTTTACAAGGGCGACAAGCCCAGTCGGGAGTTGTGAAGTCAGCCTTTAAAAGTCTTCCTTGCTGCCCACGACTGAGGCTGGGCGTGGCCGGGTGCAGCTTGATCTCGCCTCACAGGCAGTGGTGGGGGGTCCCAGGCCCCGACCACTCCCTGTATCGGGGGTGGCTGGCCGAGGGCAGGGCCGGCGTGCCAGGACCGGGACTCCTCTGAGCCCTGGTCTTCTGGGGCCGCAGGCTGTGGGTGTCTCTCGTGTCTGACACAGGAGGCTTTGCCGAGAAGGTGCTTGGGGAGGAGTAGCTGCTGCATGGGGTCTGTGGTCCCCGGCACCATCGGGGCATCCCCGGGCCCTGTGTCTGCCCTCAGCATGTGGCTCCTTCCTGCACAGTTCAGTGAGTGACTTAGGAAGAACAGAAAGGCGGGTGTTGAAAATCTGCCCTGTCCTTCCCGCTCTGAGGCTGTCCTTCTGGCAGAGTCACGTGGAAGGTTTGGGACGGACAGCCCCAGCCCAGGCCCTCCCTCTGTGGGCCAGCGAGCTCCCATCCCTGCCGTTTCTCCGAGATGAGTCCCGAGAAGCCCACGGCACTGCATGTCTCATGGGGACCTCAGCACCCCCTTTCCAGGAGCCCTCAGGCCAGCACCCCTCTCAGCTGCGTTGCAACCCTGCAGCTAGGCAGACAGGGTGGGGCTAGGCAGGGAATGGGCCACAGTCATGCCAGGAATGGGCCCCGGGCCACTTGCTTCTCGGAAGTTCCCTGTGTGTTGAAAATGAGAGAAATGTCACATCACGTTAGCCCAGGCTGCGGCATTTTCAAACTGTTTACACTGAGCCCAGGCTGCGGCATTTTCAAACTGTTTACACTGAGCCCAGGCTGCGGCATTTTCAAACTGTTTACACTGAGCCCAGGCTGTGGCATTTTCAAACTGTTTACACTGAGCCCAGGCTGTGGCATTTTCAAACTGTTTACACTGAGCATGCTGGTGTCTTCTGCCTCCACGGTCTGGGGTATCCGGCGCCTTCTGAAATGCCGGACGCACGTGGACTGCCGATCTGTGAGCTCAACCCTGCAGCCCAGTGGAGCCCGTGACATGAGTGTGGGTTGCAGTAACCAGACCTACGTCCACGTGAGGGGCTGCAGGTGTGAGTCTCAGGACAAATGCACCTCCCCCAACCCCCGGGCAGGTGAAGTTCTATTCCACCCTGCACATAGTCAGCTTGTTTGTTTTAATAATTTCCTTCTTCGAATGTGATGTTTTGTTTATCGTCACATAAAAAGCAAAACCAGACCCCCTCCCTGAGCCCTGCCGAGGAGGTCCTGGGTAGCTGGCGCTTCCCTGAGTGGCAGCGCCGTCTCCTCCCGCTCGGGTGGGGCCCGCGGCCTTGGAGTTGCTGGAGCAGCCGGTCAGCTCAGCTTGCTGCTGGGAGGGACGGTCTGTCTGGCCTAGGCTGCATGGAGGGTCAGTGGTGGACGGGGCTGCCCACCTGTCCCACTCGCTGGTAGTCTCCTGGCAGGCTGACCATGCTGGTGAGGACTGTGACTTCTGGGCCTGGGCCCAGGGCTCCCAGCATGCTTTGGACTGACCATTCCTGTTCCAGGAAACATTTGGGCGACTGCCCTGTCTCCCCCAGCCACGGTACGCTCTGCTGCTCGGCTAACCCCGCTGGATCTGATAACATCTTTCCACATTTCAAACCCTGACTCCTGGAAAAGGAGACCATGCCTGTCACCTGCCCTCCTCACCTGGCATACCTTCTGTCAGGGCGCCCAGGAAGAAGGAGAGGCTGCCAGGTGACCGCTTCGGCCGAGTTCGTCCCCTTCCGTGCAGAGGGTTCAGTACTTTTCCAAAGCCTTTTTCCCGGGGGCTGAATCAGCAGCATCCCCTCCTGATCCCTGTGCAGAAGGGAGGCTGAGCGGCTCCTGGCCGAGGTGAGAGGCCGAGCGGCTCCTGGCCGAGGTGAGAGTCGGCCTGCTGGTCTCCGCCGAGGACGCCCCTCTCCTCTCAACCTTGCAGGTGCAGGGAGAAACATCCCAGTCTTCCCAGGCTGTCCAGCACTGCTGGCTTCTGGCAACCCTTGAGGTGTCCGTTGCAGCCCCTGTGAGCCACCTGGCTCTGAGAAGCCTGCGTGGCTAGGCCAGGGGATTGAAGCCACAGCTGCCTCCTGCTGTCACCAGTAGACCCGATCTTCTCAGGCGTTTACTGGCTGCAAAAATTTCCCCCCTTCCCCTCGCCCTCACCTGGGGACCCCCTGGGATCGTCTTGCTCCCACTTCTTACTCTGCAGAAAGGGAAACTGAGGCCTAGGGCCACCCAGCAAGCACTCTTTCTGCTCCCCTCATGGGCCAAGGGACATCTCACAGGGCACAGCAGAGAACTTGAGGGTGGAGATGATGATAAGGATGGTTGATGGTCGGGGTTTCATGCGGAGGTGAGGCGGGTGCCCTGGAATCTGGGGTCCCGGTGGCTGTCGGGGTTTCATGCGGAGGTGAGGCGGGTGCCCTGGAATCTGGGGTCCCGGTGGCTGTCGGGGTTATGGTCGGGGTTTCATGCGGAGGTGAGGCGGGTGCCCTGGAATCTGGGGTCCCGGTGGCTGTCGGGCTCATCTGGATGCGTGGCCAGAGGGCAGAAGACTCCAGGAGCATTTCAGAGCCTCTTCCAGGAGTGGGACATGGACAGAAAGCGTGTCATCACCACGTCTCTGAACTTCCTGGACTGTTCTAGGAAAAGGGGCATCCAGAAGCCAGGGACAGCCCGCAGGTGGCCTGTGAGGCAGATTGGCTTGGCCTGGATGTCAAAGCTGTGAGGATCCCAGAACAGGCTGCCTCGGGGCTGGGAATAGAACTGCTTGTTCTGTGAACAGCCAGCGTCATTGGAAAGCCCCAGGTATGAAATGCAGGGATCAGGAACTGTGCTAGAATCAGATTGGCCTCGAGGCAGGGCCTGGTCCCTTTTCAGTGCAGCAGGTCTTGGAGCCACCTGGATTCCACGTGCATGAACTGCTCAGAGGAGTAGGCAGGGGAAGGAGAGAGGGACAAAGGCCGAATCATCGGCAGATAGAAAAGCTCACATTTTAGCATCACACAACGTTGTCACTGTACCTCAGGTGATAATAGTGCAGTATGCGTTCACAGCAACAGTGGTGGAGATAATGGTGATGACGGTGATGACGGTGCTGATGGTGATTGTGATGATAGTGATGGTGATGATGGAGATAATGGTGATGGTGATGATGATAACGATGGTAAAAATGATGACGGTTACGTTGGTGGTGATGACCATGGTAGGAGTGGTGGTGATAGTGGTGATGATGATGGAGGTAATGGTGATGGTGATGATGATGGTAGCAATGACGGTAATGATGGTGGAGGTGATACTGATGGTGATAGTGATGATAGCCATGGGAGAGCTAATGGTGATAATGATGATAATGGTGATGAAGGATGGTAATGATGGTAGATGATGATAATGATGATGATGGTGATGGTGATGATGATGTTGATAAGGATGATAATGATGGTGGAGGTGATGATCATGGTAGAGGTAATAGTGATAGTGATGATG